>NC_000006.12:93058586-93209525 GCF_000001405.40 Homo sapiens
CTTAGAGTGAATTGTATGGAAAATGAACATTGATCAAGTAATCAGTGTCAATATAAAACACAGTCATGTGTTGCTTAATAATGGAAATACACTCTAAGAAATGCATCATTAGGCAATTTTGTTATTGTGCCAACATCAAAGTGTACCTATACAAAATCAGATGATATAGCCTACTGCATACCTAGGCTATACGGTATAGCCTGTTGCTCATAGGCTACAAGCCTATGAGTACTATACTGAATACTGTAGATGATTGTAACACAATGGTAACTATTTGCATATCTGTGTATCTAGGCATAGGACAGTACACTACTGTAGACTTTGAGCACTGTACACTTAGGCACTAAACTTATAATAAATATTTTTCTTTCTTCGATAGTAAATTAAACTTAGCTTACTGTAACTTTTTCACTTTGTAAACTTTTAAATTGTTTTAACTTTTTGACTTTCATAATAATACTTAACATAAATTACAAATACATTGTACAGCTGTACAAAATATGTTCTTTCTTTATATCCTTATTCTATAAGTTTTTTCTTACTTTTAAACTTTTAAATATTATTTTACTTTTTTAAACTTTAGTGTTAAAAATGAAGAAACAGGCATACATATTAGCTTAGGCCCACACGGGGTCAAGATCATCAATATCAATGTTGTCCACCTTCACATCTTATCCTACTGTAAGGTCTTCAGGATCAATAATATGCATGGAGCTATCATCTCCTATAACAATGCCTTCTTCTGGAGTGCCTCCTGAAGGACCCGCCTGAGGCTGCTTTACAGTTAGCTTTTTTTTTTAAAGTAGAAGGAGTACACTCTAAAGTAACCATTAAAAGTATAGTATAGTAAATATATGAACCGTCGAGAGAATTTTTTGTTATCATGATCAAGTATTATTTACTATATATAATGTATGTGTTACACTTTTGTGTGACTGGCCGTGCAACAGATTTGTTTACACCAGCATCACCACAAACATGTGAGTAATGCATTGTACCACGACGTTAAGTTGGATACAACATCACTAGGTGATAGGAATGTTTCAGCTCCTTTATAATCTTATGAGACCACCATCGTGTATGCAGTCTGTCATTGACTGAAATATCCTTATGTGACACAGGACTGCACTAGAAACTAGGGAAAAATAGTTTGAAGATCATCATTTAATGAACAGTTCAACGTAGAGACTTAATGATTAAAGAACAATGGATTTTGCTTTCTACAAAAGAATTTCAGGATGGCAAGGAAACAGGAAACACAACATCATTTGTCAATTTTGTTTCTGATTGTTTTACCATATTCCTTCTGGGAAGAGATAAAAAAGAAATAATGTAATTGGCTCCAGACAGTGATGCTGTTCCCCTCTTGCCCCACTCCACTGTGAGGTCTGGCAGGTGGAGATAATGTGAATTGTGAAAGATGGAAGAAGAAATGTGACAGGTGAGCAAACAAGAGGAGAATCCAAAACGAGGGCAGGGCGGGAGGCTGAGAAAGAAAACGTGAAGTGGCTTGCACCTGCTTGGAAGTGAAGAGCAGAGCTAAGGCTGCCAAGAGCTCCACTTCTGAAGGCATTCACAGGAGTGTTTCAAAAGGCTGGCCATGTTCCCTCCCTTATACACTTTGATCCTTCTTGATTACAGGGAGAGAAACATATTTACAAGTTTGAAAATACTTTTTAGAGAATCTCACATTCTTTTGCTATATCAGCACTAAAGTTTCAAGGAGACAGCTTCTTTGCTGGCTCAAAAATATTGGTAAAAATAGACAACATTTTAGTTTAAATACATTTTATACATTTTTCTAATTTGCATTTATATGCAGTTTAATTCCATATATTATAGAAATATAAAATGGGAGGATAAAAACATATTTCATATGTAGAAGATGTGTAATAGGAAAATATAATCCAAGATAGTGGCTGCTCTGTCAGTTGGGTCCCAGCATGATGACAAGACCAACAAGGAGCAGAGCTCCGGTCAACCCACAAGGACATGTAGCAGGAATGTAAATAGAAAGCAGAACAAAAACCTTTGTCATTGAAATCTACTTCAGTAAAACCTAACTTGGCCTACATGATGCACTTCTCCAGGAAAAAAAAAAAGAACCGGGAAATTCACATTAAAGTGTAAGCAAAATCTAGGTGAAATATGTACAGATGAAAGAGCTTTAATGACACGTATAATAAAAAAAAATCAATGATTGTGTATGTGTGATATATATATATATATCTTTAAAACAGGAATCAACCCAGTGCTGGTAAGGATATGGCAAGCTAGTAATGACATATCTTTCTAAAAAGCGATCCTGGGCCTTAAAGAAATAAACAGAACTACTTTCAACTGTTTCTATGCAAAGATTTCTTCACGATGTTATTTAATGCTGTGAAAACACACACAAACACAGGTACAAATATTTGTTTCACTGTTCTCTACAATAAGAGGATGACTTAATATATTTTTATATATTCCTATTTTCATTATTATACAGACATTAAAACTATATGTTTGAAGATGAGAAGGTAGAAATGTGGATTTTTATAAGAATCATAAACATTTGTATAATTTCTCCTACTTTGTGAGCCTCTAGTGTATGTGTCACATGCGTGGGGGCGAGTGTGTCTATGAATACATTTTGTGGGCAATAGTTTGTGACCCCAGGCTTTAGATATTAAGACAGAAATGGGATGGGAAGAGCGACTTGGGAAGAAGGTGTCTACTGCGAATGTACTGGGTGAAATGCTATATCTTATGCAGTGTGATCCATTCCTGCAAGTCCATTATCTTCAGTTATGTTATAAAGATATTCATGGAGAAGTTTCTGCAAATTTTCTAAAGGTTTTCATTGTAAACATATGCTCCTTGAGTTTTAAGTTGGGGGATGTTTTTGAAAGTACTGAATTTACATCGAGATCGGAAGTACACTAAACAGTCTGTCATGAGAATAATGAAAATCCCAGATAATGTAGCTGTTCATGGAGCTATGACCTAGAAAAAAGAAATGACAGGAAGTGAATACATCTAAATATTCACAGTGATAGCTCTGGGTGGTATGATTTTAGGGGATATTTTCTTTCCTTATTCTCTATCACAGTTTTCAAATATTCTATAGCGGGCCTACATTATTTTATAATCAGAAAATGAATGTAACTTTTTAAAGGACTTTTTTTTAAAAAGCCTTCCTATTGAGAAGTTTTTAGCATCATCTAAAAGTTTTCATTATAGACATTGGTCATTATGTCAAACAACTACAAATAAAGATTTTTCATAATTTCTTTGAGTTTGGTATTGGTGAAATGCTAGACTCTCCTAATAAATTAATTAATTGTATTATGTTAAAGAAACAGCATCTCATTTTCTTCTTTTGATATTATTATTTTATTTTTAATTTTTACTTCCAGAAAACTCAGGACTAAGTTTTATGTTTATTTGAAGCAAATTCCTTTTTTCCTGGATTTTCTGCTCATCTCTTACTTAAATTATATTTTAACATTTTTCTTTTTATGTGGATAGTTTTATTGTACATTTGTCATGCTGTAAGCTGCCTCTACTTACTATGAAAGTGCACGTTTCTGCCATGCTTCTTTTTGTATTGCAATGACGGAGCAGACAGCTCTATAAAGGGGAAGCGCCTTCATGCCTATACATATATTGTTCTTTCTACCTAACATCTACTTTTTTATGGCTGGACTGATGAAATCCTTCTGATTCTTCATATTCAGATGGATTATTAGCTCCAGAGGGTCCAACAATAATCTGTATATTACACCCACAGTAGTTTGTATATCAAATTGCAATGAATTTTCCTCTTTCACCAGGCTTTGAGTTTCTTGTACACTGGAGTTACCCTATTAAGCTCTTCAGCATCACTACACATGACTTGGCAGATGCTTAAGAAACACTTAAATGAATAAGATTAAAATATAAGACACATAAGTGAAACTAAGCTCAATCTACTACTGCAAGAATTCCATTAAACCTCCTATTATAGGAATTTATTTATAATTTCTTTGGAATTGCAGATAATAATCAAAACCATATTGTCTTTTGTGAAAATCTGGTTTCTATTTCTGTGGTCTGGTAGCCATGTTGTGTTCCATTAATCATTTTTTAATTTATCAAGTGCCTAGCATTGAGCTAGGAACCAGAGAATAGGAGAAAAATACCATAAACATGATCAACTCTTGTGAGGTTTCATTAGAGCAGCAGAGGCAAGTATTAAACAATTCATTACAAATTTCCTTTTTTAAAATTCATAACTATAAAAAGCCAGGAGAATACAGTATATTTTATACATTTATAATGGAGATTGAGGATGCTGGATTCTGAATAATGAGTAGGGAATAGTTTATAAGGATAATGAAGGTTGGTCTGTGGGAAAATAGCTGATGGGGCTGAGGGAACATTGGTGTGAGTTCCCACCTATTTCAAAATCTTGAAATAAAGTAGTAGCCAAGAGATAAATGATACATTTTAACCATATGACTATGAAAACAGATAAATCTAATACCTAATCTATGCAGAAGGATTAGTTTCACAGTAGAATTCCTCTCCATTGGACACCTAGGAAATAAATGTTTATTCATCTTTATGTGCTTAATACCTTGTACAGTGCTGGGCAAACTGCAGACACAAGTATTTCTTGAACTAGTTAATTAATTATTAATGAGAAATTGACTTTTTCTGGAGTAAACTAGAGATTTTTTATTCTATTTTTGAAGGAAGTGTTAATATAGAACTCTTTAATATAACACTATGACAAAGAGTTAGAAATAATCACTTAAAAGCAAATATCTAACCCAACAAATGTGCAGTAACAGTTATTTAAGAAATAAAAGAACAAAACCATATTAATGACATAGGAGAAGAAAATGAAGTTTTAATGTAACATGCATTTTCTTATAAATATATATAAAAAATTGCTTATGTTTGCATGTGGTTCCTATCAGAAGCTCCTTAGCATAAATTATGTCTTTTGATGGTTACAGTAATCCTTCCTACAAAATATTTTCAAGTGCCTCTTATAAACTCCTAGTCGATTATGATTTACAGTATTCAGGTTTGTCACCACTAAACTGGGATCACATATATTTTATTACATTACAACATGATTATGTTTGATGATTTCTATTTTGACTCCAGTTCTAGAAATTGTATCTACTAGTGAGTCAACAATACTCCACTGCATGGAATTGTCAATCAATAAAAAATTGCTGATTGATTCATTGATCTTGGTTATACTTTATTTCTGTTGCTGTCTTGATCTAATACAACTCGATTGGTATATTTTCCATTTTAAATTCATTTTACCAGAAAGTTTTTTTTTCTTCCCACGTCTTTCCACAAACCTATATAACCTATTGATGAGGTCAAGTTTCAAAAAATATATTAACATTTACCAAATTGAGGAGGATTAAAGTATATTACTAGCAATTCAGATTCATGTGATTTTCCATATTGTTTCTATTTTTAAATGCATTAATTATTCAGTGGACCATAACAATTTCAAAGTCACTACAGTCTATCATCTAAATATATATGCTTATATAAGAACTAATTTTGACAACAGATTATTTATCCATTAGCCCAAAAAAGCTCAACTACAGCTGTTACTCTCTAATTGTGGAGTCCCATATTTTGGCACATTTTATAAAAAGGTTTTTGACCCAAAACACTGCAATGGCTTTTCTTTGTCATTTAGATAGGGAAATATTGACATAATTCTTCCATGAGTAGTGTGCAGGCTTACAGTATGTTAGCTAATAACAACAATAAGCAGTCTGCTTTCTGCTGGAAAGCAGTGGAAAAATATTCTCTGGAGAAGTAAAAGCCTGATCCAAAGGAAAAAAAGTCTCTTAGGAAGTAAAATTTCTAATGTAACTCAGTAAAAGATTAGATTTAATTGGAAAAAAAATGTAAACTTTAAGTTTTACATACACATGCACAATCCCTATTTAGAAGTTTAAAAATAACTGCCAATAAACGGAAATTACTGGTAACTTCATTAAAAGTTATTTGGTGTTATACAATATTGAGTTTGCACCAGCAGTCAAGCCCTTTATTCTGAAAATTCTGTTGCAATTAACACCAATTTAACATTCTCCCTCCTATGAAGGAATTTGTGAGCCAATGCTTTCTGCATTGTACGTGAGAATTTCTAGCAGATTGTTCATATCACTTTACAGCATTTTTAACAATAATAAGAATAAAATTAATAATCACTAAGTAAGGGAGAAAGCATTAAGCAGATTGTGCACTAGGTCTCAGCTTTAGTATGCCATGGCATGGTGTGAAAATCATTCATTAACAAGGTTGATTTTCAAAGCCTCATTTGAATGTCTCTATTACCAGTCAAATAACCCCCACATTCTTCTCCATATTCTCACCTGCTAATTTCCATTTTCCATACTGCATACATGGTGATCTTTTCAAAATACAAACATTGTTACATTACATTTCCTTTCAAGATCCATCACTTTCAAATATTCTTGGACAAATTACCAAAATAATTACCTTTGCCTGCTTACTTTTTCTTTCTCAAATGTCTTATTTTCTCCCACTCTTGGCCTATTATCAATGTTTACTTAAACATCTCTTCCTCTGCACTCTGCAATTGCCACCTTTGGGTCCAGTCCCTTGCCTATATCACGAGGCAACATATACCTTTTCTTCATTACACTTACCACTTTTATGTTTTTTATTTTATTTTTACTCTCTACTTCTCCTACCAGATTCATGAGGGTTGGAATAAAATCTGGTTTTGCTTCGCATTATAGGCTGGTATCTAGCCTGGTTCCTGGTGTGTAGTTGCTTGCTGCTCATTAATCCATGCTACATGGAATGAGGACCAAACCAGAAATTAAATCTAAATGTAAATCTCTTCCGTCCATTTTTACTGAACTACTTACTAGCACTATGAACTTGGACTAGTGTGTGTGTCTTATGGTTAGAACTTTTAGGCTTATAGATAACTGTACCTGAATAATACATTCCCTACATTTGTTGGCATGTGTAATTTTCATAGCTTTTCTTACCTTAATTAGAATCAAATCCTTATTCAAGTGGTATTAGTTCCTAGTCATATGGAGTCTATCAAAGCTCAATTTGAAACCATAATAAGGCAAATACACGAGGATGCCAAAGTCTTTGAGAAATAGCCATCAAGAGAAACCCGAGAAAGAAACTGAGTAAGAGAGATGTAGCTTGAGAGAGAGAAAAAAGAGAGGGGGAGATTCAGAAGGACAGAGAGTGTGTAATTAGCTATCTTGTGACTTTCCATTTATCCCTGAATCCTGCCTCTATTTCTAGTTGCTCTTTTCCTTGAAATTTCTTTGTATCCTCAGAAAAACTTCTACTTTTGTCTGAGCTAAATTGGGTGAATTGCTATTCATTGCAACCAACAATTTCTGACTAAGACATTGACTTTCTTAAACTCTTTGACTCTCAGTTGTCTCATTTGCTAAATGGGATCAATAGCAGGTCTGCTGTCTATGTTATAATGTTCCTATTAGAGTAAAATAAAATAATACATTTATGAAATTTTAAATTTATTTGTTCATGTATTCATTTAATAAACATTAATTACATGCCAACTATGGGACAGATATGGGTTTATTCAGAAATTCAAAAATCAGTAAGTCTCTAAACACCATTGAAAAGCTTATCATCTAATAAAGAGCTCTAAATACAATTGTTTTGTGATTTAAAACTATCAGGAATCTTTTGCTTTCTACTTTTTTGTAGCAAATTATATAAAACTTCTTGTGTCATTTACTACTTAATCAGTCAAAAACAAGAAATGAATTATTATACTTCATTAACATCTATTTTGTTCAAACTCTGAAACTTTTTGTCATTGCTGTATGGAATTTTGTATGTTACTTAAAGTAAATATATTTATACCCAAACTTTTGGGTATATTTTGGGTATATTACCCAAAAACATCCACTGAATCACTAATACAGCAAGCTGGTTGAAATTTGTTTTTCCAACATGAAGTACATGTGGCAAACACTACCTTTATTCAGAAACAATGCAGACTTAATTATTCAGAAAGCAATATGGTTATGTTCACTGTCTGAGTGTTTGTTGTAACACAGCGCACACTTTGAGATTCAATTCACTTTTGCTAAAATCCTATTATTAAGACTTAATATTTCTGAAATATTTTAATAGGCATTATGTGAAAAATTGTTCTAGGTAACCAACTAGACCTCATCCTCTTCTCTCTCTCCTATTTCCTGCTGTGTGTGTGTGTGTGTGTGTGTGTGTGTGTGTGTGTGTGTGTGTGTGTTTGTGTGTGTGTGAATATTATATCTCCAGACCAAATTTTGGAAAATGCTATTCTAGAGGGTATCTAGCACTTTTCTCATTCGCTGTTATCACAACAGGGTGCCAGCAAATAGCATAGTAAGACGATCATTCTTTCAATAATTTATGCCCTGTGCTAGGCACTGGGGAAAAATATGCTGGTAAAGATAACAATGATTCTGCCATGTTCTTCAAAAGGCAAACAGACAGATAGTAAATGAGAAACATATGGGTAAATAAGTAGTAAATAAGAAAAACAAATTAGAAATAAAGTATGAAAAGATCTATAAATAAAAACTATAGGGTACTATGTGAGAATATTTCTATGAGGAAGGCTGGAGTCTGTGCTAAAATGGAGACTAGGAAAGTGCTCTCATAATAACATTTAAGCTGAGACTTAAATAATGAGATCAAGTAAATGCCACCGAATGCTTTCTCTGAAAAGCAGACTTTGGGATGGAGATTAGCCTCTGGACAGTCAACATCTGTACAAAGGAAGGAAGGGAGCCGGATTGTCAGAGGGAGAAGTTGGCCTGATATTGTTTCAATGAATGCTTCTGCTGTCTCCCCAGAGACCTCTGAACGTGGAGCAGTCCTATAGAATTGCCCACTGTTGGAAGAAAAGGTGAAGATGACTAAGGTGGTAAGGAAAAATGTCTATTAGATTTTTAGTGACATGGAGTTTATTTAGATGTTCAGAAGAGAAATGAAAAGCACAACTTCTGAGTGCAGTGTTAAAGTCCATAAGAGATTAGAGATTATGAAATGGTATCCATATGCATATTTTCTCTAGTAAAGCTAATGGTATCCATAGTAGATAGATGTTGAGGGGATGAGGAGCTGAGATTTTTTTCCAAGAAAGTGTAATAGAGGAAAAAGAGAGTAAGGGAGATAAGTATATTTTACATAGAATAGTTATAATGATGAACTGTGAAATCTAACAGTGGTGAAAAGATAATTAAATACAGGAAGAGGCTGAAGTCTAGAGTAGTAGTAGAATATATCGATTAAAATACTCAATGATGAAGTCTTAGAATATAACAGTCAGTATCTGAACTGAAAAGTTAGGAAGATGTGATTGGAGAGTCAGATATTTAAAAGAATTTTATTCCCACATGTAGGATAATCCTGTTGTTCAGGCATATGATTAGTGATTTATTCCCTGGGAGCTACCTTCCTAAAATCTAGTCTTCAAAATAAATGTTTAAATGTTCTTTGTGGTGATCATCTTTCATCTCTATTATTTGACAGCATATATTTCATCTTATGTAGTAGAATCATATGGATGAGGGTTTTTTTCTAAATTATCTAATTACTAATTATCACTAGTGGTGATCGGCTTATTTAAATTGAATGAAAAGTTACTGCCTATTATCCTTTTTCATATAAACAATAAAAATATGAACATGGAATAATGACTTAAAGATATAGTAAATGACAGGGAGAAAGGAAAGAGAAAAATCTTGCCCAAGTAGAGTAGAGGCATTGACTTTTTTTTTTTTGAGATGGAGTCTCCCTCCGTTGCCCATGCTGGAGTGCTGTGGTGCAATCTCGGCTCACTGCAAGCTCCGCCTCCTGGGTTCACGCCATTCTCCTGCCTCAGCCTCCCCAGTAGCTGGGACTACAGGCGCCCGCCACCATTGCCCGGCTAATTTTTTGTATTTTTAGTAGAGACGGGGTTTCACCATGTTAGCCAGGATGGTCTTGATCTCCTGACCTCGTGATCCGCCCGCCTCTGCCTCCCAAAGTGCTGGGATTGCAGGCGTGAGCCACTTCACTTCACCCCGCCCGAGTGGAGGCATTTACTTTTTTTTTTTTTTTTTTTTTTTGAGACGGAGTCTCGCTCTGTCTCCAGGCAAGAGTGCCTGGCCTCCTTGAAGTGTCACTCACCGGTTTCTGCCACACTGCTGTCCTGGCCCTGCCATCACTTCACACAAAATTCCTGGGAAGGGCAATCAGAGGGCTCAGTGGACAGGTGACATGCAGACCTAATGCAGGCGTAATCTCGGCTCACTGCAAGCTCTGCTTCCCGGGTTCACGCTATTCTACTGCCTCAGCCTCCCAAGTAGCTGGGTCCACAGGCGCCCGCCACCACGCCTGGCTAATTTTTTGTATTTTTAGTAGAGACGGGGTTTCACCGTGTTAGCCAGGATGGTCTCGATCTCCTGACCTCGTGATCCACCCGCCTCTGCCTCCCAAAGTGCTGGGATTACAGGCGTGAGCCACTGCGCCCGGCCCGAGTAGAGGCATTTACTATTTACCTAATTTATCTACATGCTGCCACATTTTCCCACTCCTTTCAGTTAGGTAGAGTAACGGGATCTTTTCTATGTCCAAAAATCGTGGGCATCATTTATGAATCAAGGCATTTAAAAGAAGACATGGGTTCCATACTCACCCTTTTCTCCTGATATGATGACCTGGAAGCCACATGTTGAGATCCTGGAGCAGAGCGGAAGATGGAAATAACCTGGATTCCTGAATCATCACTGAGAGCCACCTGGAGAAGCCTTTGGACACACAGTAGAACCAAAGATACAGATAACCTGGATCCCTGAGTCATCAACTGGGAGCTACCCTGAGACGCCTTTGGACACATAGCAGAGTTTGCCTGAGCTCCTGTGTGCTAATTCAGTGAGATTTCAGTTTTGCAGGATAGCATAACCTATTGTGACTAATATAACAAGAGACTAATATTTTTATATAAAAAATAAAAGAATGTAGCAAACAAGGAAAATGAGTTATGGTTCCTATAAATAGTTATTTAAAATCTGTGATTACTATGGCATATTTTAGAACATTCAAACCAAAACTAAATCATATGAAAGGAAAAGTGTTTAAGGAGTTTGGGCTAACAGATATCTATCACTAGGCTCTTAACATCACTTCTCTTTAGAAAGGAAACATTCTGATACGTGATTCTTTCTAGACAAGGACAGTTGGTGAACCACGCACCTGAAGTAGCCCAATAGGCGCCTTTTAAATATTTATCAAAAAAAACTTTGATATTTTTCTTCAAAACATTCCTTACACTACCTCCTCCTGTCCTTTACCAAATAAGTCTGCCTTTGTATACAGAGAAATGTCCTGGTTTTAGTCTGAAGAGATTATGAAAACAGTGCTGTATTGTTCTCCTGAAACTTTTGTTCCTTGGATAAATTGTGCAATCTCAGTTTCCTAGTACCTCCTTATATTCTGAATCCTGTTTGAGAAGTTGCTGCTTGCCTGGAAGGCAACTGACCACAGACTCCTTATTTTACCAAAGTACAGAAAATAATAGTCTTTTTTGCCCTAATTCTCACAAATTATTCATTTGAAGAATGCAATGCATACCTAGAGGATCAAGTGACAGTGGTGGGGAAGGGGAAAGGGAAAGGAATAGGAGAAGGACAATTTTGATTTGGAGATTCCAAAGATATTGTGTTGGGATTGCCAGAATCATGAATTAGGTCTGCATGTCACCTGTCCACTGAGCCCTCTGATTGCCCTTCCCAGGAATTTTGTGTGAAGTGATAGTGGAGCCAGGACAGCAGTGTGGCAGAAACCAGTGAGTGACACTTCAAGGAGGCCAGATGGCCAAGCAGCATCTGGAATCGCTTTGCCTGCAGTTAACAGCATATTTTATCTCTGCTACACGGTACCCTTTCTTAAAAAATCTAATAAATCTCTTGTTTTAAGGCAATAAATCTAATAAATCCCTTGATTATGGGGGACTGTTACTTTTGTTTTGGCAAACTTTAAAGGGGTAACTACAACCACATACCTTGAAAGGGGATAAAAGGTAAAATATCAGTATGGGAAATCCTAACCTCTGAGAGGTTAGGCAGGAATAAGGAAACAAGGCCCACGTTTGGACAGAGGCTTATGTATATGCCCTAAACAGACTCAGCATAGGTTAGTTGTGACTTAGGCTAAGTCCTTTATTTAATATAGCCTTTGAAACCATCATAGGTCTATGCTATATCATCTGTATTCATTTCATTCTATATTTTCAGCTTTTTTATTTTCAAAAATTTAATGCCTTTAGGCTTCAGTAGGTCCCTACTGACAAAAAGAAAGATAATTAATGACAAATCAATTAGCATTCACCTATGATTACTAAATGACTCAGCATTTCATTAAATATTTACATTTTATAAAGAAGACTGTGTGCATGCAATGAAAAGGCGTAACATACTGATTTGAGCCTACCATCATGGATTATAAGAAATGTAGAATAATGTGATAGGAAATGGGGCAGTCCAGTGTCTTACCTATCTTACCTGATGCTGGATTGCTGATTACATACCATTTATAGGAATAATGACAGACTGAGAGATGAAATCTACTTTGTATCTTTTGCAAATAAGATCATAACTACCATCAATGAGAATACATATTCAATAATACTCCACCCTTCCAGAACTTAGAACTGTGCCTAAAATATTTAGACATTCACTAAGTATTGTCTGAATAACTCTAATATTCAGACTAGCTTTTGTCAATTGACATCCATGCTTTTATCAGTACTTACATAGCTATCCTTTGTTCTTTTTAATAGTCCAGTCATAAATATTAAGAAAAAACTTAGACAGCTTTTTCCATATAACAACACACATATCTGGGAGTTTAATAAGTCTCAAATTCATAATGGGAGAGCTGGTTCTATTTAACAATCTGACCACGACCCACTTTCTTATACTAGACGATGCCAGTGTCATCCATGTCAATGTGCACTAAAGAGGTGACTAACATCAATTGAGCACCAAGTACAGTCTATGCATTTCTCCAACTGTAATATTTGTTATGTCTTTTCATATTTACACAAAATATTAACTAATTACTATTATAACCACATTTCACTGGTAAGAAAACAGATGCAGAAAAGTTAAGTAACTTGTTCTAATTCTTATCACTAGAAATATAGAAAAAGTTAAGATTTAGGATTCAGACTTAGGTTTTCTCAATTTTAAGGACTGGACATTGCCTACTTACTATGATGTATAATAAATTTTGCTTTAACCCTTTATGATATTATAAAACTATAACTTAAATTACGTTTATATTCTGATCTAAATTATCTCCAATTGAAATTTTTACTGAATATATAAAAATAAAGCAAACTTTTTATTATAAAGATAGAATTTTTAAATAAACATGTTCAGGTAGCCATGAACCCTCCAAGAGTTACAAAAACTCAGAAAATCCACTATTGGTTTCTGCCACCACAAATATTCGTGTGTTTCCTCCCAACCAACAAGGTAAGCTTCCATATACTGATCTGTAAAGACAGGAAAAAATTATTTTGCAGACCTAATACTAGCCTAGAAACATCACAAAGCACTTGAGGAAAACCAGCATTGTGATAAAGAGGCATAAAACTTACAAAAACTTTTGAGGAGATAAATTTATAAAGGGGAAAAAAGGAATAACTGTAATACTTAGAGTCATTCAAAGAGATACTGCATTCATAAAATAAGACAGATATGCTATCAAAGAAATAATTAGTGATAATGAAATTAAATTATTTGATTAGCAAAATAAGTAAGAAAAAAGGAATGGTTTAAGAATAGAATGGGCACAATGAAAAGGCAATTAGAGATAGAAGGTAATCCTCCACAATGAATGGTAAAAAGATAAAGCATTGAAAAGTATGAGAAAATTCAAGATATTCAGAGTACAAATCCAGAATATTTAATATCTATATAGTGGGATTTCAAAAAGGAGACTATAGAGAAAAAGCAGAAAAGAAAGAAAAAATGAATAAATAGAAGAAATAAACACTATACTGTCAAAAATATACTAAAGAAATATTAAAGATCCAAAGGGTCTACCAATTTCCATGCAAAATAAAAGTGGCCAAAATAGAAATATATGAGTGCAATTTAAAAACATTAATAATAAAAATAATGTGCTAAAAACATAGCATAGAGATAAAAAATTTAAAGCTATCTACAAAAGATTAATAATGAGACTAATATTAGGTTTCTCATTGATGGGAGTCTAAAAGACAAAGGAAAACCGGCTACTGGTAAAAATGCTTTGAAATATCAAATCCTGTTGTGGGAAGTCATGGACCCTGAATGGAGGGACCAGCTGAAGCCATGGCAGAAGAACATAAATTGTGAAGATTTCATGGACATTTATTAGTTCCCCAAATTAGTACTTTTATAATTTCTTACACCTGTCTTTACTGCAGTCTCTGAACATAAATTGTGAAGATTTCATGGACACTTATCACTTCCCCAATCAATACCCTTGTGATTTCCTATGCCTGTCTTTACTTTAATCTCTTAATCCCGTCATCTTCGTAAGCTAAGGATGAATGTCGCCTCAGGCCCCTGTGATGATTGCATTAACTGCACAAATTGTTTAAACAATATGAAATCTGGGCACCTTGAAAAAAGAACAGGATAACAGCGATGTTCAGGAAACAAGGGAGATAACCTTAAAGTCTGGCTGCCCGTAGGCCAGGCAGAACAGAGCCATATTTCTCTTCTTTCAAAAGCAAATAGGAGAAATATTGCTGAATTCTTTTTCTCAGCAAGGAACAGCCCTGAGAAAGAGAATGCATGCCTAGGGATAGGCCTCTAAAATGGCCGCTCTGGGAACGTCTGTCTTTTATGGTTATAGATAAGGGATGAAATAAACCCCAGTCTCCCATAGTGCTCCCAGGCTTATTAAGACAAGGAAATTCCTGCCTAATAAATTTTGGTCAGACCGGTCGTCTGCTCTCAAACCCTGTCTCCTGATAAAATGTTATCAATGACAATGCATGCCCAAAACTTCATTAGCAATTTTAATTTCACCCCAGTCCTGTGATCTTGCCCTGCCTCCATTTGTCTTGTGATATTTTATTACCTTGTGAAGCATGTGATCTCTGTGACCCACACCCTATTTATACACTCCCTCCCCTTTTGAAAATCACTAATAAAAACTTGCTGGTTTTGCGGCTTGAGTGGCATCATGGAACCTGCCAACATGTGATGTCTCCCCTGGACACACAGTTTTAAAATTTCACTCTTCTGTACTCTTTCCCTTTATTTCTCAGACCGGCCGACATGTAGGGAAAATAGAAAAGCACCCACATGAAATATCGGGGGCTGAATTTCCCTGATAAAATCCCATATAAGGTCAAGTCAGCATTTAAGTGTGAGGATAAATTGTAAACATTTATTGAAATGAAAGAACTTACTGCAGAACATACGAATAAGCAATTCTGAAAGATTAACAAACAAATTTAAATTAAAATATGAATTCAAAGAAAAGGAAAGCATGGATTACAAGAAACCATGGTGAGGGAAATATAGCCAAATAAAAGCAACAAAAATATATTAACACTTATAGTTAAGTATAAAGTTTGTTCATTCACCATGTAAAAATTTTCACATAAATCGGAATTAAAATTCCAGATAATCCAACCATAGGATCCACTGATGGAACATTAGGAAATTAATATATTACATTCATATTAGTAAACAAGAGAGATAAAAAGTAATAACCTAACGGTATAATCCAAGAAACTAGGAGAAAGCCTCAAATCGGTTAGATTAAATTAATTAAAAATAAAAATTAATAAAATAAAAAACAACAAAAAAGCTGATTTTTTTTGCACTTCTTGTCAGGTAATGAAAAAAATGAATAGATAAAAACAACATTATGAAAAAGAATTGGGACAAAACTTGAGACAAATAAAATATATTAAACATTTTATGACTAATTAAGATACTTTTATTTCAATATATTTGAAAAAAACATGAATTGGAAGAGATTTGAAAATATAAATCACCAAACTTGGTTCAAGAAAAAGAAAAATAGAAAATCTGAATAGACAATAACCAGGAGAGAACTGTAAAATTTAGTCAAATATGTGTTACAAAAAGCATCAGACCAAGATAGGTTTATAGATGAGGTCTAGCAAAACTTCATGTAATGGTTGATTACTGCCACCTCAGTTATAAACAGCATAGAAAAATGTTCAATGTTTCAACTCATTTTTAACACAACTCTGCTGTGAAAAGCTGGCAAAGGTAGTGAACACAAGTGTACACAAACACACACACACACATACACACCCTTAGCCTAAACTTACATGTCAGAGGGAAATAAATAAAGAACAAAAAATGCTAAATAAAATATTAGCAGTTCAAATCCAGAAAAATACTAAAGGATTAATATGTCATGACTGGGGTTGGTTCACTCCAGAAATAGAATAACATTTCAATATCACTATTTGCTATATTATAAGATGTAAAGTGAAAATTTATCTTATATAGATGCCTATTATATATTAGATAAGATTGGACACTCGCCTCTAGTTTTAAAGAGAGGAGAAAGAAAGAAAGATGCTCTCTTAAGAAACTAGAAATAAAAATTAGAAACAGATTAAGGAAACGTACCATCTCCATTCTTAGTCAGCATTGCTCTGGAAGGTCTAACTGATGTTATATGAAAACAACAGCAACAATCTAAATTATAGAAATAATAAGACAAAGAAGACAAAAAAGTTATTTGTAAATGAAGAGGATCAAAATACACTATCCCAAAATGTGCCACTTTGGCATATTCATTATTTTGAGCTGAAAGCAATTAAGAAACAACAGATACAGGAAGAATTCTCTGACTGCTCCTTCTTACCTAAAACCAAAGCATAAATTTTATTTGTGAAAGGAACTGTTCTTAGAGCAGGGAGAGGGGAATATTCTTATCACTGGAAATGGGGAGTTAACACTGAGATGAATCTGTACAGGCTTACTAAAATAACCATTATCTTCTATTCCTTTTCCTTTTATATTTACTAATTACTTTCCCACAGTTTACTGTCCCTAGCCCAAACCTCTTTTTCCTCTATTTTAGTATATCTCCACAATTTACTGTGCAGTGTTAAAATGGTATATATGCTCTCATTATGTAATTCTTAGAGCAAACTTGTCCTACCTGTGGCCTACAAGCTGCATGCAGGCCAGGATGGCTTTGAACAGAAATTTGCAAAATTTCTTAAACGGTATGAGATTTTTTTTTAGGATTACTTTTTTTTTTTTTTTTTTTTTTTTAGCTCATCAGCTATTGTTAGCATTAGTGTACTTTATGTGTGGCCCTAGACAATTCTTCCATTGTGGCCCAGGGAAGCCAAAAGATTAGACATCCCTGACTTAGCACTTATAAGGTATATAAGACCTATTCACTTCTTGAGTCTTCATTTCTTATATATGAAAGCTTCCACATACATGTAAAAATATTAAAACCAAATAAAAGTTTTAGGCTTTTCTCCTGCAAATCTACCTTTTCTCAGTTTAATTCTCAGGCCCAGCCATAGAACCTAATAGGGTAGAGGAAAAGGCTTTCCTCCTCTATACAGACATTGTGACACACATAAATACTAAGATAATCCCCTGTATTGATATAATTATTTTTTCATGAGAACATATGGACAGTTTGTGTATTTTTTTCATTTAAAACTGCAAACAAAAAGTAGGTCCAGAGTTCTCATAAAACAACCAGAGCTCTAGCATTGACTTTATAACTGAATTGGTGTGTTTTCCTTTAAGAAGAAAGCAATTAATAAAGAAAAAGAAAACTCATGGATAATGATAAGGTAAATGTTTTCATACCTACAGTACAGCCCTATAGAATCAAGGGAATTGAAAAATGGGTCATCATTCTTTATCTTGAAGAGATTTAGTTCACTGACTTTAGGGGTATGTAGAAATTTATACATACAGAAATTCTGAGAGACTGAATTGTAGCCTAAGAAAATGGCTTAATTATTGTGATACTAAATAACTCTACACTCATAAAAGGCCTAAAGCAGTTGCCATATTGTTCTTGCCCATTTCTCTGCAAGCTTAAGCTTTACATGATTTCAGTCTGAAGACAAAACTGATTAAATGTTTATCTTGTTATTCTCAAGCTTCTTAATCTTTAATCTCATCTAGATTTAAGTCCTTAAGCCAGTTTAGTAGTTACAAAGATTCTGGAGATAGAACTGAAAGACTATTAGGCTGAAAAAGAAATTATACTTAAGGAAAAACCTCATAAGAATTGAAATTCTATGATAAAAAAATGAAGGCAATACCAACCGTACACTACCAAGAAAAGGTTGATAAGATACAATTCTTAGCATGTTGGGAAGTAAAATAGACTTGTGAATAAAAACATACACTGCTGTGCTTGATTTGCACCCCTTGAACCCTCTCGGATGCTAACTAGCAATGTGACATTGCCCATTTTATGTAACCTCTCTGAGTCGAAAGCTTTATTTTCTATGAATTAGGATAAATAATACATACCTCAAAGTATTGCTGAGAATATTTAATGGCACCTGGTTTCTGATTTATGATAAGCAATGGAGGTAATAAATGGCAGAATTTCCTCCACCCAAACACTGCACAAAATGAAATACGTGTCAGATATGTATTACAACATACAAGATAATTTTTAAAAATTTTCTTTGATTCAAAATAAAAATGTTATGTGTCCTCCGTAAGGTGATAAACCTAAATCAAAATTAACTGTACACACTTAGTGTAGGCCTCTAGCTTAAATTATGTATGCTGGACTGTATCATTAAAGGAAAATATTTTTAAGAACATAAAGCATTTAGTGGTATTCCATAATACGTTACAAACTGCATTTTTCATGCAAACCATTAGTCTGCATATGATAAGCAAATGCATTTTCAAGAAAGACTAAAACTTGTGAAGTTAAATTTTTAATGTAACCCTGGTCTTCTATTAAAATTTGTTTATGGAATAAATGGGAGAGCTCCCAAGTTATCTGTGTCATGCTGGTTGTGCCTGATTTTATTCTACTTCTTTTATAGTAACTTTAGAAAACTTTGTTTTATATAATTATTTTTCTTTTTTGCAGAAGATGTTTTTATATAATAATTTTACACAATTACATCCTTGTGAACAGATCTTGTGTCACACTACTCGATTGTCTTTGATTTATTCTGGAAAAGAGATAGGGAATGTATAAACTCCTGCAGACTGCCACTTTGCTTTCCTATAGCTTAAAAAAATCACATCCATAAAGTAGTATTCATGAAATGTTCACCCTTCATAAGGCAAGAAGAAATAAGAATTGGAATATTATGTGGATATCTATGCTTTTATCAAAAGGGGCTGACCTTCCTCTGCAGTAACATATTATGCAAATGAAAAGAATTATTAGAAAATAACATAACAAGTAGCACAAGAAATCTCAGCTGCACTCATGGCACATGTTAATTTCATTGGCAATATAATCCAAAAATCAGATGGTTTAGGGCCTCACTGTCTAGGCTTTGGACTCAGACCAACCTTGGTTTGAATCCCGGATCTGCTCATCACTACATTTGGGACTACAGACTACTTATTTAACCTTTCTAAGCGTCAGGTGCCTCATCTGAAAAATGAATGGTCCCTATTTGAAGAATTGTGATAACTACAATTCTTAGCATATTGTATTCTACAAACTTAGCATATTGCTATTCTACAAACTTAGCATATTGTATTCTACAAACTTAGCATATTGTATTCTACAAACTTAGCATATGCTATTCTACAAACAGTGTATTGTTCTGGACATGTTGATAAACATTAGGTAACATTATATTATATGTGTGATGGGAGATGGGGGAAAAGAGAAAGGGTAGGAGATAGGGTGGGGTAGTAGTGGTGCTAGAATATTCTATTATGTTTTTCTGTTTTTCAGTCTTGCTTTAAAAAATTAATTATAGGGAATCAACTTTTTCATAATATGCCTTTTTCAGGTATTGAAAAGAAAGCCATTAAATGAAATATGGCTTATTTTGGCTTATCTTGACGCCCACAATTTTGCCATTTTATTACCAATTACTAAGTAGTCTCCTTCTCTCCTAATAGATACATTTCTAAATTTGGCACTAATTCACTTAGTAGATTTGGCAGGAGAAATTATTTGTTAATGTCAAATCTAAGAAACAGGCTTCCTCTCTTAGCTTTGTACTGACCATAAGTGCAATATTGGTAACATCTTCAATATTATATATATAATATTGGAGGTTTGGGAGTCCCCAAAATAATATTCTTTTTCTCCACCTGGACTTGAAGCAAATTGGGAAAGAAAGTAAACAAGGTGGCAAAACAAAACAAACTTTCCATCGATGATAAAGCTGAGATTAGAGTTAGAGTTTATATATGCAGCATTATTGAGCTTCCTAACTGCATTGGAGTTAGTCTTGCTTCTCCTATCTCTGAATACCACCTCCTTCCCCAAACCACAAAATAGCACTGTGAGCCTGGAACCCATTGCCACTGAAGGGGCTGAGTGTGTCTTATAGCACAGCATGTGTTCTTTAGACAGCTCACTCCTAACAAAAAAGAGAGGAGGGACCTGGCCACTTTCTCTTAGATTCCTGTTAGGTCTGGTAGGTCTCTCTTCCACCCCAGAGAAGGGATGATGGAGTGGCTGGGGAGAAACCAGTAGTGTTATGCTAATGTATGTCTCTCTAAATGTTAAAGAACTGTTAGGAAAAAAGAATTAAATGTATCTCACTAGAATACCTCACTTTAACCCTTGATTATGCTATTATCCCATTTAGACTGTTATTTCCCAACGAGTGCCTATTGCCCTCAGGGATGGGATGTAGAACAACAAGCTAAACGGACAGCTACTCTCATGTTTCCTCGTTTATGCTCCTAATGCCAACTACTACTCTTCTGGGTGTTCTCTTAGGGGAACATATAATGGAAAATACTTGGCCACCCAAAAATGATTTAAATCATTATGTGATTGATCTACATTAGATCAACTGCAAGATCACTCTGTACCTAAAGCTAAAGTACACTGTCTGCTCTATTTCCTATCCCAACTGATGTCTATTCACATTTTCCATTATATCTTATATGGAATGTAACATCACAGTGATATTCCAATAATTACATAAATCAGCATATTGTAATAATATGTCAGAAAAAAAGAAGCCTCACATTTCAATAAAATACCTTTCTTTATCACATTCCCAAAGAGATCTAGTTTTAAAACCAACTTCAAAGATCAAGGGAATCTTAGGTAAGAAGTAAAATATTTCTCTCTTCTGAGCTGAAAGTCCAAGATAACACATCCATCACCCTATCTCACCTTTACCTCATCCTATTCTGTTTTAACTTTGGAGATTATTGTTGTCTAGGTGAAACTGAAGTTTCTTCAGCCTACTGCTCCATGTCCTACAGGAATATGGATGCTTCCTTAAGGATTTCAGAAGCTGAATTAGCTCAATGTCAAATCTCAAATATCCCAAATTTTTGGAGACTACAATAAGTTGATAAGATTTGCAAAATGATGATAGCCCTGGCTTCAAAGCAAGCCATTCCCGGTCTTGACAGTAATTTTCCACAATGCAATCCTATTTCTAGAAAACAGCACATATGTTCCTAAAGATGAAGCAAAGGCTCAGAAGTGTTTGAATGAAGTAGGACAGCTATAACTCTTCCTTGTTATAGCCTCACAAGGATGCCAGTCGTCTGTGCTAATTGCCTATCAATTTATTTTACTGAAAGAATTATCCTGAGCAGATTTTTGTGCTATTATTGTGACCCTCTATAAAGAATATTCTACCTAAGCATGTTTCCTCTTGGAGTATTTGAGATATTAATGATATCTTGCAATATTTACAAATTTGTAATGATGACACGACTTATTTTAGGTACACTTTTTTCCCCCACTCATATTGAGAAGCTCTTGACTTACATTCCCACTGTGCACTGCTTACTTATGCCTGACACTAACAATTTAATTCTAGAACCTCATCTGTGTTGTGTATCGCACATTGAACTCAACATTTGTATAGTTTGTTTGGGCTACTGTAACAAAATACCATAGATTGATATTCCATGGACATTTATTTCTCACAATTATGCTGAGAAGTCCAAGATTAAGGTGCCATCAGATTCGGTTCCTAGCAAGGGCTCTCTTTGGTGTGCATAGGGCCATCTTCTCACATTGTCCTCAAACGACAGAGAAAGGGAGATCTCTGGTCTCTCTTTTCTTATAAGGACACTAATGCCATCATGGGGGCCCCATGCTCATAACCTAATCTAAATCTAATTATCCCCCAAACACTATACCTTCAAATACCATTGTGTTAGGGTTTAGGTCTTCAACATATATATTTTGGAAGGATAAAAAACGTTCTGTCCCAAACAGCATTTTTGCAATTTAAAAATCAGTAGATTTTATATTCCACCTACCAATGCCTAAAAGATCTGTTCAGAGAAAAAGGCTATTTTTCTAGGAAATATTTGCCTCTACAATTTATCGAGGCCCTTATAGTAAGCCTGGGTCTACAAATTTTCCTGAGGAGCCTGAGCACATGTGTTAGGAGGCCAACATTCATGAAGTTCAAGATCAAGCTATAGAAACCTGTATAATAAAGTCCCATTGAGGGCATCAGCTCTTTGGGTAAAACCAATATAGCCCATCCCAGTTTACTAAGTTCCACAATACCCTGCCTATCCCTCGCAGGTGAGAGGGAGGTGAGACAGTATGAGTGTTTCACTAACAAGTCTCCCACTTCACAGAATAAATTATCAGAACCAGGGAAGAATCACTCCCTTTTCCTTCCTTATAATGTATATAATTTTTAAAATATAGAAATAACTTCAATTGTAAGTTGACTAATGGGTCTACTCACATAATTATTCAAAACCCTTAATTTAGAAATTAAATTAGGTCATGCCTTCATTATCATGAAAAATTTTATTACATTTCACTATCAGAATGGTGACTTTTAAAACTAGCTTGAGTTTTAAGTTTATTTTGCTAAACAGCCAATTTAAAATTAAAAAAAATTTAACCTTGTTATTTTGAGAGTTTTATTCATTTACTTGGACTTTAACTTGTCATATTTGAACCTAATGATAATACAATTTCTTTTAATATACTTGATAAATGTTTCAATTCTGTAGCAATGTTGCAATGGACCGTCTCTTACCAGTGGTAAGTTAGTAGTAATCCTGCAAGATAAACATGCAACAGAAGGTTGTATACAACTAAAATTAATACATGATTTTTAAATGCCACCTTTTTTCAATTACAACGTGAGACTCATTTATATGAAGAAATCCATGTTCTGCTACAGCAAAATATGACGAATGTTTTCTTCATTCCTTCTGACTTTGATGGAGGAAGTAGGACTTTTGGTAATGTGTTTACCTTTTACCCGGTGTTGGCCATGCTTATCTTACCTCTTTGAAGCTGAACATTAAGGGTCCTTAAGACTGACTTGGGCACCAACTAATGATTTAAGCATATATAATTTTTCTTCTTCAGCCAATGTGGCACTTTTTTTTCTCAATCAAAACCTCTCTATCTTACAACCCAAAAATGTTGTGGAGGAAGTAGCTAACTAAATGTTGAAGGGTGTGTTATTATGTTATCATCATCATTATTAACACTCATTAGAGGCTTTTATCTTCAAAGTGCTTTGTATGCATGAGTAACCCCCTTTTTCTCCACTCCTGTCCACCTTTCCATTCTTTTTTAAGAACTGTGATGGATCTTTAACTCCACATGACCTTTGAATTTTTAGAAAGTGCAATCATTGATGACAACTAGCCTTTTGGGGTCAGTCTTATCTCGTGGTAAGGAGGAACATGTGCCTTGATGTTCAGTATTAATAAGAAATAAAATGCTTTCCAAGTGCAATTCAAAAACTCCTTTGAAACACATTTTGCTTTACTCACCTCTCCATTCACCCTCACTTCAGATCTTTAAAGTAACGCAAACAAGCCCACACTGCTCCACCACGTGGGATTGTGCAGAGATAAGTGAGCTACTATGCTTGGTCCTCAAGATTTATTACCAGGAGATAACTGAAAAGCCAATGTAATTTTTTAAGACTAGGAGGAAAACAATTCAGCCAAACATTCAACAGGATGTAGAATATTTTAATGCCAGAAAATATTATTTGTGAAGACAATGTGTTTAAAAGAAATGGGGCATAAACTCAATCTGCAGAAAGGATTGCTGGCTGCTTTTCATCAATGTCTTCCTCTAAAGGGTTATTCATAAAGGAGAATTAATTATATTAAGCACACAGGAAAAATCAGCCTTGAACATATACACATAATTGACTAACTAGCTGAACATGTAGAAGCAGAAAACAGGCAAGGATACAAGGAAATGCTGAAGAAGCATTCCTGAAATACAGGTTTTGTTTTTGTTATGAAAAGTCACCAGTACAGATTCCCACCTGTTAATCAGTAAAGCAGGGCAACGACCTTGTCAACAAAGCAAAGGATTCAAAAAGAAAGGTATGACATATTTTTTTTTAAATATATGGAATGTTTTAACATAAATGATGACTCCAGATTTAGACTGAAGGGTACTGCTATTTATGGGTATGATTGATGCTCTTTTAGTATTTGGAATGGTAACTATAATTGCAGGGACCTGAAGAAAGAAAAATTCTGAAAGTGTCATCTGAAGTTACCTGTTTTTGCATTTTCTTGGCCCTCTTTCCCTAATTCTGAGAGGATCACTCTACAGTAATGAAAGAATGTGGTTTTCCTTTTTGAAAAAGAGGGATGGGCCTTATGTTTTCTTTTTTAACTGTTTTAATCTGGGATAGGTTAGCCAGGGATGTAAAGTGTTTGCCTTGGGCAAAAAAATCCAAATATTCAACATTCACATTGCTTGTAAAACTCTTCAGCAATGATTTAATGCTTAGCAAATGGCAGCTCTAACTAAAAGTTAACTTGTGATGAAGTACTATAGTGTTTCACAGAACACTCACAATAATAGATTTTTGATTCCTTTGTTTTGTTTCCAATGTCTTTTTTTTCTTCAATTTTCCCTCCAAGAGAAAATACTGTGCCTTTGTTAAAATCCCTTTGATAAAAACCTATTTCTGGTTAATCAGTTCCACATTTTTAATTGTTTTCTTAAAGAAGCTGAGGATTATTCATCTGGTGAAAGTTGTAAATGTTTGGCACTGGAGTTTCTGGGGGAATACTTTGGTATGATTTGTTGAAACTATGTGTTATAAACTACGCTCTACACCCTACACTGAGAGAATAACAAGATCCAGTATTTTAAAGCCTAATTGCTCTTTAGGGATCAAAGTCATGTTACTTACTCATCTTACACAAGGTTTTGGATGAGAAAGAAAAGTAGCTTGATCCTCCCAAAAAGCTACTATGAGGCAAATTGAGTGCAATAACCCATATTTGAGCCAGGAAAAAGCAGTGAGAATAGATTTTTAGTCAGTTTTATGCAATGCATGATATAGGAAATATATAATAAGGAAAAAATGCTTATAACACATAGTTAACTTTATCATTATAATCAATAGGTATTTAATGACATGTTAAAATATATTTAAAAGATACATGTAGTAACTGAGTTTTAGATTAACATTGTTTTTCCAGACCTGACCATTAAATTAAAAAATGCTTTTATCTGTATTAAGGTTTTGCACAGATCTGGACTTCTAAAATTACTCTTTTTTTTATTTTCTAATATTTAAAGAGTGAAAGTTTAAAGAATCAAATAACACCTTGATGAAAACCATCATGTGAAAGGAGTTTTTGAAATATTGAGAGGAATGAAATAATTTATTTCCTAAAACTTAATAAATGAAGTAACAGGATTTAGTTCCTTATGTTTAATTTGAGAAGTCATACCCTCTATTCCTATATATTTGAAAAACACGTCCAGAACTTTCCACTGATTCCCCCAAGTAACATCTTCCCTCTTTTCCAATATATGCCCTAGAAGAGTCATAATTTTCAACCTTAAAATGAGAAATTTTTATGGTGTGTTTGGACCAAGGCAATCTAGATAATCACAATAGCTAACATTTATTGAGCAATTGGTAAATGCCAGGCACTGGCTTAAAAATTTCACATACATAATATTTTATCCTCAGTATAAGTCAAGGAGGTAGAATGACAATTATCTTTACATTACAGATGAGGAAACCATGTCACAGAGAATTTAAATGACTTGCTCAAGGTCGGCCAAGCAGTCAGACTTCAGGCTCTTGATGACACCCCCTATCTATGTAAAAGTAGAGGTGCCATTTCTTGTATTTGTATCAATTAAGGGTCACATGTGGATTCAACTTCACCTAAATTGTTTCTTCTTTCAGTTAATTTCCTCATTTGCATGTCTGATCTTTCTCCCTGACTCTACCTTTACACCTATAAAGCATCATTTAATATCTTGGTACCTTCATAGAATACAAAGTATTTC
This sequence comes from Homo sapiens, assembly GCF_000001405.40. NCBI lineage: Eukaryota > Metazoa > Chordata > Mammalia > Primates > Hominidae > Homo > Homo sapiens. The sequence continues at coordinate 93,085,092 of NC_000006.12, forward strand.
CTAGGTCAAATCAAATATTGTATGTAAAAATTACTTTGAATGTGGAAATACTGTAGAAACCATTCTATTAAAAAGACTATCTTATATTCTAGCTAATAGGTTAACTAAAACACCTTTAACTTGTAAGTGTTTGTTTTTTTCTTAGTCTTCAAACTGAACAACTTTGCAACTTCCACGGTTTTCTTCTTCTTTACATCTACCACTAAATTCATTTGCTACCTGATATTATTAAAAGCAGTAATAGTCCAACTTTATGACAATTTAGAGCTAGACTGGGCTTACCTACAGATAAGTTAACAGAAAAAAATCACTTAGGATATAAAATTAATATTACACTGAAAAATGCTTAACATACTGAAAGAAAAAATAGTTTGTCAATAGCCGGGCATGGTGGTGCGCGCCTATAGTCCCAGCTACTTGGCAGGTTGAGGCAGGAGAATCGCTTGAATGCAGGAGGCGGAGGCTGCAGTGAGCTGAGATCACACCACTGCACTCCAGCCCGGGCAACAGAGCGAGACTCCATCTAAAAAAAAAAAAAATAGTTTGTCTAACCCACACATTTACACATAAACATAGAGACAAAGCGTAATTTAAAAGTAACCAAGCTAAAGCAGATTCCAACAGAGTATTACCATATATTTGTTAACAGAGTTTGAGTTTTGATTTGTGTTTGAAATAAAACCCATTTCCAGTAAAAATTCAGAATCTTTATGAATTCTGTCAATTTGACTTGGTATCATTAGGCTGCCTTGGTTGAGTTTTCACTATCCTGTGGGTAATTTTCTTTAGCAAATTTCCATTTCTCTTTATGCCCTTTGTATATTTAGTGAAACAATTTAACATCTGTTAAATTGTAAATATTCAGGACAGGGACTTCCCCTTTAATTTGTTAGATTTGCATCAGGTATGCCTAAATGTTTAACAAAATGCTTTTGATGATGATTATAAGGATAACAAAAATGACAATGATAATCTAAGTTTAAAGTTTTTAGTCTCTGGGTTTATATTACAAATTTAGAAGATGCTGAAGATTTAAATGCACAACAGAATGTAAAAAAGAAATTCTCAATAGTCATTTTTACCTTTCCAATTTAGTAAGAATTTGTATTTGAAATATTCTGCTTATATATTTAGTCAGATATTTTAAAATCCCCTCTTCCCCAGTTTCTTAGCTTAAAATTACTCTCTTTCCATGGTTTAAAAATAGAGTACACATTTTGTAAGCTTACTTCGGATAGGAACCACTTCACAACAACTGTATGGCCATTGGAACTATCCCTATTCAAGTCTTGAGACTTCTATAACAATATCTACCCTACATCCACATCATTGCCAATAGGCAGCATGTATTTGGGAAGCATTAATGATTTTAAAAGGCTCTGTCTCTTAGGATTTTTCTTAAGATCCTTTGCATTTTACTTTTCAAAGGGCTTCAATATGGGGACCTGATAAAGAAGGATTAATGTAGTTTAACAAAGTGAAAAACTAATTGAATCATTAACTCACTATTCAGATTCAAATATCTTCATTCCAAACCACATTCACTATTTACACTTCTGCTTTGCTCCTCTGCCTGACTCTTTTCTTCTCCCTTATTGGTAAAACTTCTTAGTCTTAGCCCTAACCCTGAAAAGGTCATGTGAAAATTCACATCAAGCATGTCAGAGAAAATCATGGCTGCTGGAGCAAAAGCTTAGAAGGTTTTTGCTCTAGAAGTTTAAAATCTTACATTTCAATGTTTCTTTGAATATCTTAGAACTCTGTTAAAGTTACTTAAAAGGACACAAAAACATGACTAGCTGTCGCTACGTTTAAAAATTAGTATTTGGTGCTTATAAGTTGCTTTATATGCCCTGTTGAACCATCTTCTTCCTACTTAATAACACAGAATCTGAATGCAAAATTATAATTTAATATCTCTGAAATTTTGTATTTGACAGTAATTTTTTTATATAAAAACACTACTACAGATTTTTAAATTGTAGAATAATTAAAAATGCATACATGGCACAATGTGGACAGGCAATCATTTAATACATAGAGAGGCATAAATTTTGTAAGGGAAGGGTGTGCTTGCAGGAGGCTATTTAACAGACCCACCATTAATGAGACCTTCCTAGTAATTATTTTTTTTTTTATATTTCACCCTCCTCCCTTTAAATGGTATTGGACTGCAGGCAAATTTTAATCTTAAATACTAAACCAGTGATAACAGCATAACCATCTTAAGTGGTACATTCAATACCTTGCAAAAATTATTACACTTCTGTTGGTCTGATTTATTTTAGGTTCACTGATTCCTCTAGACTTAGACACATACACCATCACTAATTTATGTTGATGACACAATACAACATTTAGTTGACATGAAATAATTTATTAACTAAGAAAATAGTTCATGAGCTTTTGCACATTAGCAGTTTTCTCCTTGATCACTGGTAGACTCAAGTCCATTCTAGTTAATTCATCTTCATAATAGGTAGTTAACAAAACAAACATTATGAGCAATTACTCAGGTTTAATTCCCTAGATAGAAATGTTAAGTCCTGAACTTAGGCTTAAAATAAAATTCACTCTAAGCAATGTTTAATCATTTAAAGAAAAAAAAGTCTGCTTCCTTAAATAAGATCATGCCAGGTAGAAAACCTAAGTCCTAATTAAATGCATTCTGTTTATGGAAAGCAGCTAACACGGTACCTGGCATACAGTGGGTGCTCATTTGGTGATAATTATAGTTATTAGCAGAATCGAAACTATGCCAAATGCTTCAGAACTCCCAGTCTCTTTTCTCCATATTCTATTTCCTCCTAAATACCTCTAGTACCTTATCCTATGCAATTTAGGATCTTTGCACTAATCACACTCAAACTGCAGTTTCCTAGAGTAGGACAGGGATGAACAAATCAGGAAGGCTTGTGTGCGGTATTTTCAGAGTCAAAGCTTTCCTGAAAAAGATCTGGTTTCAAATTATCAACATATCAACTACAAAGAGCCAGTATTTTCTTCATTCGCTGACTAATCTCCAGAAGCCAAATTTATAGCTGAAAATCAGCATCAAAATAACAATTTTAAAAGATTATTTTGAAAAATTAAAGTTTTTTTTTGTGTTTGACGAAGTATAGCTCTGAATCAGCCTAGATTTTTGGGAATCTATTATCACCAAAAATAATGAAGTGCATTGCCCTTTTGCATAATTGAAAGGAAAAGACAAATGTTCCAGACTTAGACTCAACTTCTTTTTGATACACCTCAAAACCAAAGGGAAGACAGAGAAGAGATAAGAATAAGGTTAAAAAAATAATAATAAGGATAGAACTCAATGATAAAACATGAGTTTTCCTCCTGTTTTTAAAACAACGTAGTACTTTTTTCCTTTAAACTTTTGTTCCTAATTTGGTATACTTCACTAAATAAAAATCAAAGAAACTTCTGCATAGCAGCAAAACCTCTGAGGAGAGTTTTCCTGCATCCTTTATACTGCCTTGTCTTACTCCAAGCCCAGAGCTGGTGCTAAAATCAGTGACATGAGGCCGGGCCAGAGAAGGGCCCCAAGAAAGACCCCATGTGTTTTACGTAAAGTTTTACAACTTTCTTTTCTCCACAACCGAGATTATCCCTTCTAAGGGTGTGTATCTGAGGCATATGCTTCATACCGACGCCACACGAAGGAAATGGAATAAACCACTCCCCATGCTTTCTTGAGCTTGGCTTCCTGTTCTATACAAAAGGAGGACGCAATTTGGATTTACCTCAATTCTCGCCTTCCTTGCCGAGGCAGATGTCTTAAGCACTCTATTTTAAGGATTCAAAGCCCATAATATTACTAATAACTCCACATACTTGTTTGCATTTCCCATGGTACATATAAATGTCAGAAGCAATGACTTGCAGCCCCCTTTAATCTCGTGACAGCTTTATTATCATTGGTTGGCTGAACTTCAAGAAAAGTTATGACAGTGGCGAAGTTCTGCAAACTGCAGCACATATTTCGGTAATTAGGTAAAGGAGGGAAAGCTACGTTTAGAATGCACAGCTGAAATTATTTGCTAAACACATAAGATGCTGAGGTATATCACATTCCTCCCAGGACAGCTTTTGAAGGGTGATTTACAAAGCATTTCTTTTTACTGTTTTGCCATTTCTTCCCCCTCCAGTTAGGCTGTTTTAGCAGCAGCTCTGACTTGAAAATGGATCTTCTGATAATGGAAATATTGTATTTGCAATATGAGAAGGTGGAAGGAGGGAGTGGTCTGAGAGGCTGTGGTTTTCATTTTGTTCTATGTTGAACTCAGCTTTCTGAATGACTGCATCTCTCTCATGAATGCTTTAGCGTTGAATATTGAAGCTGATTTTTTTCATAGTTTTGGAATCAGGCCAAGGTTTTCTAATCTTGGAAACTATCATATAAACTGCTTGAAATACATTTTTGATCCCACAAAAACAAAACTAGTTGTCTTTTTACAAATTTAACTATCAGTAAAGTTCACACTAACAATTACCAGTAATCAAGTTGCTGTTTTATTGTATCTCGTTAAAAGGTCATATACTTCAAGAATTACTTTAAGAGATTTTCCAGTAAGATAATAGATTTCAATGACAAACTTCTTATTCAGTTTCCCTTAGAACCAAAATCATGGACAGTTTGAGAGAATAAACTTTGTGATGGAAAATAATCCAGATTTTGCTTAAGTGCATACTTTTAGAATTGATATAATTAATACCCAATTTTAATTCCCCAAACTAGCCTGTCCAGGCTAATAGTCAAATAAACTATCAAACTACCTATTAAAAACCTATGATAAGCTGGGCGCAGGGGCTCACACCTGTAATCTCAGCACTTTGGGAGGCCAGGGTGAGAGGATCTCTTGAGGCCAGGAGTTTAAGACCAGCCTGGACAACATAGTGAGCCCATGTATCTACAAAAAAATTTTTTTGAACCAAAAAAGTAAGATAAAAACCTGTTTATTGACTTCTGAAAACCTCCAATTTTTGTTTGGATTTGAAATTCATCTATTTTGATCCAATCCAACAGCTTTCTTTAAAGTCAATCTGAATATCATTTAACAAATTTACATAAATTTCTTACATTTTCAAAATAACGTTGTTGTAAATAACGCTATTTGTAAAAAAAAAACATTGTTGTAAACCAAAGGAGAAATCACTAATTCTATTTCTACGATCCCCTTTGTTGTAAGAGCCTATAACTTATGATAGGAGAAATACAAAACAGAATTCTCTCATTCTCCCTTTTCTTCCTTTCCCTTCCCTTCTTTTCTTTCCTCTTCTCTCTCTCATTCTGCCTCAAACTATGTATCTTGGGCATGATCCAAAATAGTTTAAAAGAAAGTTAAAATATATACAACATAAAGCAAAATAAAATAAGTTATAATAAAAAGATTAATCCAAGAAAAAAAGTTAAAAATGAGAACCTTATAAAATATCATAGAATGAGAAATAAATTTCCTCAAGGATACCCATTAAGAGGACATTGTATAATATCATGCATTAAACAGTATCATCTATTAATACCACACCCTTATAATAAGTGGTACAAAGGACTTCAGAAATTTGTCATAGTATCTTCTCCTTAGTCCCATATTTCTTACCATCCCCACTTGGGCAAATGCCATCCTACAAGTGGGCTATCATGATTTTGGATGCCCTGGCTAAATTCTGGAGTATACTCTTTCTTATCTAAAATAATAGATGCAGTGTATATCTTCCAAATGATCTTGCATCAACATTATTTCTTTTGTTTAGCTTTTGTTAGAAACACTGAATACAAGATTATTCTTCTGAAAAGAATATAGACTATAACTAGTCTATGTTGCAACACAGTACAGATTCTTATGATTTAACATTCTGAAGAATTCCAAGAGATTTGATCCAACCCTTGTTTTCCCCTAATTGGATCCTTCTAGAAAACTAAGGGCTTCCCAACTGCCCATATTCAAGTTTACCATTTACAAGATTACCAGTAAGTAAAAAGAGAGAGAGAGAGAGAGAGAGAATGCCAAAATCTGAGATGCTTTTCATAGAAAAGAAATCAGCAGAGGTGCACAAATGTCAATTTTACTTCAACAATTACATGGATATAAATCAAGTATTAGGATAAAATTTGTAGTAATATTTAAATGTTTCAGACAAAATTTTTCTTATACATTTATACATAAAAAATTATAATTTTTCATTCTATTTTCTGAAAGATGTTTAAAACCATTTTATACTTACCACACTTTCTTTAAGTAAAATGAGCTTTTGTTGGCTATTTTTATTTTTGATTATTTGGCTTTCAAAATAAAGATTAGCTAAACCTAAATGCAGTAAATATTGATTTAAATTTTATATCAAAAGCAAATATGATACAAGCTCTACACAGATAAGTATTTGATTTCTATGAAATCCATTTATCTAAAGCTTAATCCAGTATTTGTTTTGTTATTAAAACTCATTAGCTATCCAATATTTTAAAATTAGAAGTCAGGACTAATATACAAACCCTCCTCAAAAGTTATAGGGTCCTGAAAAATTATGAGAATAAGTGTGGTCAGTAATTTCAATGCTCGGATATAACCTTGACAAAAGAGTACTTGATAATGAAGTCTTGTTTCTCTAGTCTTTCAAAAAAGGGAGAGAAATTAGAGGGAAAAAAAACCTAAGTAAAAAGGTGGTTAATGTAGACCAATGAATTTGTGCAAAAAAGAGAAGCCCAAATAAAAGCCCTTTTAAAAAAAATTTAAAGAGTTTTATTACAGGATGTTAGTATTCAAGACAAGTCAGAGCACCTTATACTTTTAATCAGATTTTGGGTAATTAGTTTTAAAGTGTTACTTGAGCATTTTTCTCATATTGTTTTTTGGGCAAAAGTGCTTCTCAGTGACTGTTTAAGAGATGTTACTCTGATCAAACAGTTTATCCTTAATAACTCGAGACATCAATCCATGGATAGCTTCTATTGTAGTTTTACTCCTGTCTCTGTTGGCTTTGGCAAGTTTGTCTTCTGATTTTCGATCATGTGTTTCTAAACCCAACAATGAAACTCAGTGTACCTGCCCAATATTTATTCCACAGAAGCTCAAGCAATTTGCAACCCAAAGAGAATTTGAAATACAAGACTTCTAAGGCATAATATTGTTTGCATTGTACAAAAACATCTTCTATTTTATTAAGCAGGATAGTCTGGTACTCAGAAGGTCCTTCATCAGGAGGTTTGTAGCCCTTTGGGTATGTTCTAAAGGCATCAAGATTCACCTTCCCTGCAGATATTGTTCTTGTTGGATCAATCACCACTGCTGTAAATGGTTCCCGGAACCGCTTATTGAGCAGCTGAGTACTAACATGATGCCAGAAAGCCAGCAGCCATGGCCAGGGTGCCTATAATACCATCCGATTGCATTTTTAAGGCGGCCAACCTTTTTGGCATTTTCTGTGTATGTGGCCATGTACTCATATGCAACAGCCTCAGCATTTTCTCGGGTTTCAGTGCCCTCCACAGGCAAAGTAAAACTGCCCATAATAATCGTGGTTTCACCATCTACCTTTCCTGGCATCAAACCCATCACTTCCAAGTTGCCCCCTGACCTGGCATGCATCATCATCTTCAGTAGAGCTAATGCTGAGATTTTGCAGTACTTTAAAGTAATGGTGATTGTTAACCCAGGGCTTTGTTGCCAGGATTTCATGCTGCTGCTTCTTGTCTATTTGTAGATTTCATGGATACTCTGAGTTTCTTGCATGTTGTTGGCCAGTTCCCAGGTTTTTCAGGCCATACGGCTCCTGGATGTCACCATCGATGAGGAATCAAAATTGTTGCCTCTATAACCAAGATGCAACTTTAGCTCCCTAGATCTCTGCGTGTGGGCTTCAGACCCTATGCACCACAGGAGAAAACTCTTTTTTAAAATTTTTATTTGTTTTATTTATTTATTTATTTATTTATTTATTTATTTATTGAGATGGACTCTCCCTCCATCACCCAGGCTGGAGTGCCGTAGCATGATCTCAGCTCACTGCAGCCTCCATCTCCTGGTTTCAAGTGGGTCTCCTGCCTCAGCCTCCCAAGTAGCTGGGATTACAGGTGCACACCACCATGCCTGGCTACTTTTTTGTATTTTTAGTAGAGATGGGTTTCACCATGTTGGCCAGGCTGGTCTCAAACTCCTGACCTCAGGTGAGCCGCCCGCCCTGGCCTCCCAAAATGCTCAGATTACAGGTGTGAGCCACCACACCTGGCCAGGAGCAAACTCTTAACTAGATTCTCGAGACAGCCATTCACCTTTACTTTTTTTTGTAACGAGTCTTTCACTGAAGTCATTTGGAGCAAGTAAATTTTGGCAGCATCACTTTAATTTCAAAATCAGTAACTGTATATTTTTAAAATGTTATTATCTATTTTACAAAAGACACTATTTTATTATGTGTGATATGATGATCTTTTAATTGAATACTAGAAATTTAGCTATGTGACTTGCAACTGATTTTTATAGCATTATTTCTATAGTTAAAAACATCTAAAGGCCAATTTTCCCGCTGTATTCAACTGATGAGTCAATCACCCAGCCATGCATAACCTCATAAACAATCTACTGAAACAATTTCACATTTACCTCCCTGCATTTTAGTAGTATACACTGGTGAGAAATCTCCCAAACACCTGAGGATAGCTTTGTTTCACAGTAAGTCAAAGAAAAGGTATGTAGCAAGTGTTGAGTGTTATATAAACTAAGGTTCATTTGCGTTGTATTCAAGCATTAAATGCATGGGATATATAAATAATATATATTTAGTACATTAATCCTCTTTAGTAGGAAAGGCAGCCATTCAGGCAAACCATCTTTAGTAGAGTAGATAAAATGAAGGCTGGGTGGACAATGTTGGTTGCCTGCTCCATAGCCATTGCTTCTTACTATAGCCTTGTTTCTTACTTGTGCACCCTGCTATTGTTTAGTTATTAGGCAGCCATCTGTCTCATTGGTCCCTCCTCAACTCCAGGGGCAAAATGTTGATTAGCTTAAGCCAATCAGAATAATCCCATTCCATTGACAATATTAGTGTAGAGTTATACGTGATTAAAAACCAGGCCAATAAGAAGATAGAGGCATGTGCTAGAAAAATTTTTCTTCTAAAAATATGCAAACTGGGCATTCATTCTATTCTGAGTATTCTCACATGAGTTTAAGATGCCTGAATCTGCCGCAGCTATATATTTGGCTAAGATTTGCCTCCTAAGAACACCTCATGTCAGAGATACCCCCAGTCTCATCTACCTCACATGACAAATGAATGTAATAAAAATAAATTGCTCTTATTGACATCATTCAAAGACAAATTTGCATGTATAGACTCACAAAATCTATGAAATTATTCTTACAGGGGAAAATTAAGAAATTGTAGCAGGCAATGGAGGAGATAGTTAAGTGATTTTATAATACAAGCATCCTGGCCTTTTCATAAACTTGAGTCTATACATCTCTTTGTTTGCATGTTTTATTTTTAAAAATATTTTTCCCTAAGTCTTCTTTATTTCCTTTCTTGCATAGGCTTTTCTTATAACTTAGATTGATTCTTTCCATGCCTTTCTCCATGCTCATACAAGGATATTATTTGCACACATAAAGGGATTATGGTTGGAAGAGTTTGTTGTTCTTAAATCTCATTGTGCTTATCAAAAGGGGATCATATATTTGATTTCATGCCATTTGCTTTTCTAACAAATTGTACATACCTACAAATAATCAGATGGCAATATAATGGCCTGAAAAATTATTCCAAAATGGATATTAACAGTAATTTCCCTGTTTAAGAATGTTGAGAATGTTTCCTTTTCCCCACACTTATAAATACAGCTACAGTAAAATTTTTTGTTCACATGTACATATGTTCACAGGCACTTCTATCAAGGATAAATTTCTATAGGTGGAATGACTGGGTAAAAAGTACAGGACACACACACACACACACACACACACACGTTTAGTTGACTATAGAATACATCTTATGAGATTGCTTACCAAAGGGACTACTATCTCTTCCGAGATTATTCTTTTGGATTTCATTGTACTATTTCATTTGCAGAGCCAAATAAAAAAATAGAAAGAAAAACTGAGTTTACAATACCATGCTTCGGTTTCCTCAATTCTGGAATTGCATCATGTTAGGTATCTCAGGACTAGATTATTTTGCAACCACTACTTTGCTACAGTGATACCACAACTCATCACAGCTTTTTATTGTTATTTTATTTAAAAACAAGCCGACTTCAAAGTTTTTTGGTATTTATTAATTTCTTCTCATTTACAAAAGAGGCAAAATACAGTACTCACAGATGACAAGTAGTTCAGTTTCTATTCCCATCTCTTCAATTTAAAAGTCAGCACTCAGAATTGACACTGCGCTCTTAGGAGGTATCTATTTTTCTGAAGAGACAGGTGTGTAACATCAGTGGGCAGACCTGAAGTGGAATTGGCAGTATTTCTTATCTTTTTCTTTTTTTTTTTTTTTTTAGATGGAGTCTCGCCCTGTCTCCAGGCTGGAGTGCAGTGGCCGGATCTCGGCTCACTGCAAGCTCCGCCACCCCGGTTCAAGGGATTCTCCTGCCTCAGCCTCCTGAGTAGCTGGGATTACAGGCGCGTGCACGCCCAGCTAGTTATTGTATTTTTAGTACAGACGGGTTTTCCCGTGTTAGCCAGGATGGTCTCAATCTCCTGACCTCGTGATCCGCCCGCCTCGGCCTCCCAAAGTGCTGGGATTACAGGCGTGAGCCACCGCACCTGGCCGGAATTGGCATAATAGGTTGCTTTCGTAAAGCAGGAGGACATAAAGATAGTTAGACTGGAGTCCAAGGAAGCTCTTTACTAGTTTTTTCCTTCACTCTGGAACTTGAGACTAGCAGACACATAATCACAGTTGGCATTCACCCAGATACTACTGGCAAAGAGGCTTCAGATGGAGCATCTCTCTTCCCTCGCGAGAAGCAGCCATGTTGGCAGGCTACCACATAGAGGGTTGTTGCCTCCCTCTTCTATCCACTCCTTAGACAGAGATCAGTTTCATCTGTCAGGCTGGCAACTTTAATATGCACAGAAATCCACATGAAAATCAGAGATTGAGAAGGATCTTCATTAGCAAGTGACCCCAGGGAGAGGAAACTTCTAGAAGACACAGGACATAGCATAGGGTGGAAAATGGAAGCGATATGGTTGTTGAAAGAGCTCATTACTAATGTTGAAGCGACTTATGCTACATTAAATGAAATACAAGACCAAGGTATATGAACAAAGTTAGGGAAAATGGAATTAGCACTTCACTCATAATACTGTTCAGTCCAGTCCGTGGTTGTCTTTCCAGCAGATTCTTCTTAATGAAATTATGGCTAAAATTGAATCTGCCTGATGTCAGAATATCTTGGAGTATGAAAGAGAATCATTCACTGCATAATGCCCTGTTGAGCATAACAGGCAAAGGAATATTAACCCTAACAGTTTTCAATATTGACTTAGCTGTCAGAGAGCCCTGAATTATAGGAGAAACTTTGCCATTATCTACTCAAAACCCAGGGAACTGACACCCTTTGTCTCTTTCTTTCTCAACTAGCATAATTCAAATATTCCTTAAAATTACAAAGATAAAATGCAATGATTCAGGTAATCTCCAGGAGGTATTTATAGGTGATCTAAAATCATTCTGACATCTCTATGCAATGAATTACACAGAATATTAAAAGCCACAGTTTTTAACAGGGGGTCTAGGTCAAGGCAAAATTGTATGTTATATGCGGGAGACAATAGAGAGCAACAGTTCAGATTTCAGAGTCGGGAGCAAGTCAATCTCAGTTAAAATTCCAGTTTCATCATTTATTTGCCATGAAACTTTAAACGAATACCCTTTCTGTGTCATGATTTCCGTATCTGCAGAATGTGGTTGAGAATAATTATAACACCTACATTAGAAACTGTTGTGAAGCTATAAGACAATGTTACAGGTACCCAGTAAATCTTAGCAAGTATCATTTGACTATTTGTCTTCCATCCTCCATTGCTTAAATACTTGATTACTTGTATCACCATCAACAGCTGTAAGAAGAAAGGTCAAGAAAGTCCCCATTTTTCTCTTAGAATTTAAGTCAATGTGTTACCTCTCTTAGTGCTATTTAACTCTTGAGGATTTTCTTTTATTCTTTCTTTCTCTAATTGTACAGTTAAGGAAGGGCTTTACCATCTGCCACAGATATGGCAGTAGCTATAAATGAATTGGGAAGGTATTTCAGGCCCAGAAATATGATTTTTGTATCACGGGGTAGATAGCCATGGTCTACCAATTTCACCTAAACATGTAGCCTGCATTCTACAGATACTCAAATAAACTAAAGCAGATATCAAAGCAATAAAAATTAAAGACTGGTATGTGTTTTGTTTTCTGAAAAAAAACTTCTGAAATGTTTGCCAGTAGAAGATTTTTATTTATGCTCCTTTATCTAAACTTTTCATATTCTTTTAATTCTATATAAATAGAAGTTATCAATCAGTTCTACCTTCCCTTTTCTCCAGGTCCCAAAAAGATCTAGAAAAAATAAAACACAAAAAAATTAATTAACAGAAATATCACCAAAAGTAACAACTTTTCTTTTTCAAAATATACTTAAGCTACATTTTCTTCACATTTTTATTAAATTTACCTCTTTTTTTGCTATCTACATCTGCATGTTCAGATGCAGTAGCCACTTAACTTCACATAACTACCCCCTGCTTAAAATATGGCTAGTTCAAGTTGAGATCTAATTGAGTGTAAGTTGCACACCAGGTTTCACAAACAATTTGAAAAAAAGGATGTAAAATGTATGGTTAATTTTTATACTGGTAATTTATTGAATGATGATATTTGAGATAGTTTGAGTTAAATAAAATATATTACAAAATTAATTTCACATTTACTTTTTAAAATTGTGGTTACTGGAAAATTGAGCAGCATATGGGTTTATTTCTATTGAATGATGCTGCTGAAGACTTACAGAAGGCAAACATTCCAGGTGCCAAAAAAATTAACTACAATTTTAGAAATAAAAATTTACTTTAGAAATTTAAATACAGAATTTCACTTCTAAATGTAATGGAGTATTGCTCTTGCTAAGGACAACTAGGGAAAACAGATTTATTATCGGTAATAAAACCCAAAATTAAAACCAAAAAAAGTCTGTTTGAAGGTATCAGAGAGCTAGTGAGACAACCAGCACTTGAAAGAGGAGAATCTTAGTAGGAAGGCCAATGCAGAGATGTGAACTGAAATTCAAGAGTTAGAGACCCCTGTGGCCTCTGCTAGGAAGGAAGGCAAGGAAGCCAACAGAGCTTCTGGTAATCTTAAAGAGATGAACAGACAAGAGTTGGAGTACAGGATTGCCAAACATCTAGGACTTGAGATCCACGATCTTGGAGATGTGGGAATGAAAAGGAACTAAACCCAATAGTAGTGGATTTCCACTTTAGATGTTGGTCAAATTATTAAACTGTTCAAGGGCAAAGGACTATTAGGTTGGTGCAAAAGTAATTCCGGGTTTTGCCATTAAAAGTAATAGCAAAAAAACACAATTACTTTTGCACCAACATAATACAATGTAAATCACAGTCTCTAAAATGTAGTATAATAAAGACTACAAGTTCCCTATTGCAATCCTTGGAGGACCACACCATATTGGGAAGAACCAGAGTTTGTTGGAATATTGGTAGATAGAGCCCCACTATACGTATCTGCCAGAGGAGAATGAACTTTCTATAAGTATAGCACCATTTAGAGTCTCTAAATTTTTTTAGATACAATGTTAGTTACTAAATTAAAAATTACTAAACATTTTAAGAGACAGGACCCAAGGGACAAAAAGTATACATAATCAACAGATGTATAGATGACCTGGTTAGTGAAGTTATCAGATATGAAATTTGATTTATATGTTTAAAACATAAATGACAGATACAGAAATAATCAAATGGAAACTCTATAACTAAAAATGCAATTACAGAATTTAGAATCTCAATAGATGGGTTTAATAGCAGGAGATAGGATTATGAACTCTAAAATAGGTCAGTGGGAAATACTGGGGTTACTCAGAGAGCAAAAATGATGGAAAGTGTGCAAAAGAGGCTAAGATACATATGGGCCACAGTAAAATATTCCAATAAGAAATATCATCAGATTCCTGGAAGGAGAGGAGAGAGACAACAGGCAGTAATCACATTCGAACAGACACTGGCTGAGAATTTTCCAAAACTGTCAAAAGATATCAACCTCAGAAGCCAAGAAGCCCTACAAAACTGACTAGGATAAATACGAAGAAATCACATTAGGTACATCATAGAAAAACTTTGGACAAACAAAGACTGACGGATAATCTTAAATGCATGGGGGTTCAGAGTTGGGGGGCAAGAACTAGCAGACAGCTCATTTGCTAGAAGAAGAAAAAAATACAACTTGGCAAATTGTGAAGCTGGATGAAATTAGGCATCAAAAGAGTCTTGCAAAGCTCATAATTCAACATCTTTGGAAAGGTTGCTGCAGATTAACATATGCCACATGCAACCCTCAAACTAATCCACAAAGAGAAATGGTCAGTTAGCTGTAACAAATTATGGTAATTACAAGGGTGCCTAAGGTTGTTAGTTCTCTGCTAACTATGGGGGCAACATCTCTCAGAACAAAAGAGCAATAATAAGTGGAAATTTTTAAAGATGGTTCATTTTTAAAACTGTTTTATTAGACCTTAACATTGTTCATAATTTTAGCTTAAGTTACTAATAGATAATGTTGAAAAATTCTTTTGAGAGTTGTAAGAGTAGAGCTGCTATTGTAATGATACAACCCTACTTCCTATTTATATAAAGGCAATAAACTGAATAGATCAGCGTTATAAACAATATCATCACCTAAATAATTTATAAACTACAAAATTGTGCCAGTTACTTCTTCTGTTTATGTTTGTTCCCATCTTCCTCTACTTCTCCTTTATCACCAGTAATAAAGGTGAGAAGAGTGACTATTTACTGCAGTATATACATACAAACTAAAACAGATCATAGCAGGAAGATGCCTCTATCAAATATCACTGAGGAACTCCAATAATAGAGAATAAGTAGAAAGGGCAAGATGCTCATAGCCATATGTGTATATGCCAATCATTGTATACTGTAAGTGTATTGGTTCCATCACTGCCTGATGTACTTTGAGACCTAGACCATGTGGTCTATTGTGAACTGAATTCACTTTTCTGTGGACTAACCTCTTATGATGTCAACAATCTTCAACACTTCTTCCTCAGCCATTTTTTCACTCATTCATTCATTTATTCTGCAGATATTTATTGAATACCCACTATGTGACAGGTACTATTCTTTTTTTTTTTTGAAACAGAGTCTCGCTCTGTCACCCAGGCTGGAGTGCAGTGGTGTGATCTTGGCTCACTGCAACCTCTGCCTCCCAGGTTCAAGCGATTCTCCTGCCTCAGCCTCCTGAGTAGCTGGGACTACAGGTGCCCACCACCACTCCTGGCTCATTTTTGTATTTTTAGTAGAGATGGGGTTTCACCATGTTGGCAAGGCTGGTCTCGAACTCTTGACCTCAGGTGATCCACCTACCTTGGCCTCCCAAAATGCTGGGATTACAGGCATGAGCCACCGCGGCCAGCTTGACAGGGACTATTCCATATATGGTGCCTAGATGGAAGAGACAAGGTCATTAAATAACTAATGATAAGGAGAAAAATTAGGTAGGGAAGAGACCAGAAACTGATGGGATGCAATTTTAGGTAGGTTAGCTAAGGAAGATAATAGCAAGATGAGAAAGTTAAAGATGGCCGAAGTAAAGAATGGAGAATTTGGGGGTGAGAATTCCAGGCAGAGATTCCAACAGATACAAGGGCCATAGATCAGGAGGAGGGCTGATATGTTCAAGAACAAGGAAGCCCATGAGACTGGAGCAGAGGGAGATAGGGGAATATATTGGGAGATGTGATCAGCAAGGGAACTAGGAGCAAGTTCATAAATTGTCTTATTAGGTCATTTAAAAACTTTGGTTTTTACTCTACATGAGATGGGAAGCCACTGGAGAATGCTGAGCAGAGGGGTTATGTGACTGAAGGTAGACTGTAAGGGAAGACTCTGGCTGTGTGGAAGACATACATTGAAAGAGGCTAAGCATGGGAGTAGGAAGACTAGTTAAGAGGCTGTTACAATAATCCAGGCATAAGATAATGATACGTTAATTTCACGTGGTACTATAGCAGATGGTGAGAGAACATTGGGTTTATTTTACAAATTCTATTCATGAATTCCATTCTATTTATTCATTCTATTTATTCATTTATTTATTCCTTATAAAATAAACCCAAAGGAGCTCATTCTCCCCTTTGACCATGAGAGAACACAGCAAAAAGCCAACATCTATGAACCAGAAACCAGGCTCTCACCAGACACTGAATCTACCAACACGTTGATCATAAACTCCTCAGTCTCCAGAACGTGAGAAAAATATTTCTATTGTTTATAAGCTGCCCAGATTATGGTATTTTATTATAGCAGTCCAAAGGGACTAAGACACCCATAGAGCCAACAGATTTTACTGATGGATTAGCTATAAGGAATGAAAAAAGTTAAGGATGACCATAAGGTTTTTTGTCTAAATAGCCAGGGGAAATGTAGCAGGCATCAACTAAAGTAGAGATTGTGGAAGAGCAGATATGGTGAATCTCAGTTCTGGACATGTTAAATTTGAGATATTGAATACACATTTAAGTGGTGAATCTTATTCTGTATTTCCTATGGCAAGGAAGAGTTTAAAAGTGAAACTAATTTAAAAGTAAGTATTCTGTAATTTTTCACAATTAATTATCTAGATTCAGTCATGTGTGGTGGCTCATGCCTGTTATCCCAGCTGCTCAGGAGACTGAGATGGGAGGATCCCCTGAGCCCAGGAGTTCAACTCTGCAGCCAGCTATGGTGGCATCACTGTCCTCCAGTCTGGGCAACAGACTGAGACCCTGACTCTTAAAAAACTTACTTAGATTCATAATGTGACTTGTTGGAAGATACACACCATTTCTATGCCAGAAAAGAAATCCATAAGACCCAATGTTGATTATTCATAGAACTTCATGGTTTTGAAGACATGATGTGGAATAATCAAATGGCTTCCCGCTATGGATATATTGAGTTAAGATAAATAAATTATCTTTCTCTGAAGTTACACATTTTGGATCATGTAAATCTGCAGTTGCCAGTCACCATCACTCTGATTGCATTTCATACTACCACAGAGGACTATGAGGGCAACTCACAGCCGGAAGGAATGCTGAGAGGTGGAAGGCAGAGTTTGATGTCCTGTGCCAGCCTTAACTAAAACAAACTTCACCGTAGGAGTTCACAGTTACCTGAGTCAATAAATTCCTTTTATTAAAAAAAAAAAAATAGACTATTTTGAACTGGACATCTCTCATGTGAAACAATACAAATGAAAAATATTTTATAAAAAATCAAGTCTTTTAGAGATTAATTCATTTCCACATGTAAAAATGGAGGCATATCATATCAAAATGATAACATTTATTTTGCTGATTTTTTTTTCAGAATTTCTTTGAGGAACAACTAAGATTGTGCAGTATAAAAATATCCACTAATTTTGAAACAAAAATTTATTAATGGTTTATTCTTACTTTTCTTAGAGCCAACCTTCAACTATCCATGTAAATGGAAGACAAAACTACTGAAGATAAAATTGATACCCCCAAGAAAATTCCAAATCTACACTGAAATCAACTACTTTCATTCCCTAAGTATTTTTCATAGAAATTCCAAGTTATGTGTGAGTAGTATTTCCATAATTTAACCAACTTCCTGTAGTCATCCTTCTTTTGTTGAAAAGACCTAATCTAAAATTGAAGTGACTGTGGAGAGAAAACCCAAGTTCACTGACCATGTAAATTCTATAATTTGCCTTGCATAAGTAGGAATTTATGATATTAACAATCAGGAGCCTAGAAAACATTCCAGGAGAAATTGAGTTAAAATTAAATCAGTAAGGCCAGGCACGGTGGCTCATGCCTGTAATCCCAGCACTTTGGGAGGCCGCGGGAGGTGGATCATGAGGTCAGGAGATCGAGACCATCCTGGCTAACACGGTGAAACCCCATCTCTACTAAAAATACAAAAAATTAGCCAGGCGTGGTGGCAGATGCCTGTAGTCCCAGCTACTCGGGAGGGTGAGGCAGGAGAATGGCCTGAACCCGGGAGGCAGAGCTTGCAGTGAACAGAGATGGCGCCACTGCACTCCAGCCTGGGTGACAGAGCAAGCCTTCGTCTCAACAACAACAAAAAACATTAAATCAGTAATATTATTGGCCAAACTCTGGATTTCTATCTTAAGTTTCCAGTGTTGCCTACTTTATAATTATGTATTACTTACTGTATCAGCCAGTGGATGACCTTACCTTTGGTTTTGCCATTGCTTTTAGTGGCAAAAACTGCAATTACTTTTGCACCAATTTAATAAATTCAACCGTTGAGTACAGACTTGAAATATTTTTTTTTATTTATGTGTTGGGTGTCTTATAAATGTAACAGTGGCTTAACAGTCCAAAAAACATCAAACTTTGTTTCATGCTCTTCATAAACTACCAAAAGGCATGCCTTTATTTTTAGCAGTGAATTCAGTATTCACTAAGCAATTAAAAAAAAAAAACTGTCAAATTTGTAGGGAGACATTTCCTTGAAAATATCATCTCATCTTTTTGCTGGGGCAAAAAGCTAATTTTTAGTTCTGAAAATAAACTTTTCTCAACCCCAAAAAGAACTGTGTCTAGATGAGAGTAAATTAAAAATAAAAACCTTTAGGTAATATCTGACGGAGAAAATATCAAGAGGTAGGTGATTGCTTTCCAGAATTCTTCCTGGGATTCAGAATGAAGATCATCCATGGTGTCTCTGAAGATGCTTAACATAAGTATAGATAGCATCTGGAGGAAAAAAAACACGAGATATCTTTACGTTAGCATTCCATGAGCTAGAGATATCAGCATTTTCTTCTAACTTCGCTTATTTAATTCTTGGGTAGCTCTGTAAGTCTAAGGATTAAAATGCCAGAAAGAAAACGAGGGCCTTAAGATAGAGTTAGCTATAGTCTAAACAAGGAGAGAGGCCCTGTGCATTATCCTCATGTGAATGGAGATTCCTTGGATAATGACTATAGACTGGATAGGGAAAAAGGCTTTGCACACAGCCACCCATTGTTCAGTCTTTATTAGAACCAAAATAAGTGGAGGCTTGCTTTTCAGGCCCACTCTGTGAGGACTGAAGAGAGGAATGTCACTGGATCCCAACAGTATTTGATGTCTTCATTTTCCAGGACTCTTCTGAGAGAGACCTGGCAGGCTAGAGCAGTTGACACAGAGAAAAGGCAAATCCTGAACCAAGTCACATTCCTAGTAATGAGCAGTAGAGCATTTCTATAATGATAAGGCACTTTTACTGCTATGGTTGAGTTAATAGAACATTGATGACATCACAGTTTCTTTAGTGAAAAAAATGAAAAGAAGGGAAGAGAAAAAAAGTCCCCAGCACAGCAGATAAGATATGTGACCAACAGAAACATACTGTATTAGGGCAAGAATGAATACATTACTAAAACTTTTAAACCATCATCTCAAACTTCTATTCAACTGGCCCATCCCTAGAAGGGTAGAAAAAAAGAAATAAACAGATCAAAATTAAATATTACAAGTTTTCTGGGTTGGCTATTTGTCAGAATTAGTAGTTCCCTTGGTCGTAGGTTTTTGGTGTGCTTTATCCTTTATATGACTATTCATGGATATACAGTTTTTTTTGGTGGGGGGGTTTAGAACTATGAACACATTGAAACTTAAAATATGTTCTAAATGTACTTCTAAGAGCCCCAAGATTGCGCCAAACAGCCATTTTACAGCTCTCTAGATTTCCACTAATCAGCAAAAGTTACTGGCCTTAGAAAAAGCTAAGTTCATTGTCCTGTAAAATACTGTGGGTATTTATATCACAGCGTGATACATCTCAGAGAGAAAAGAAAGCGGGTAAGAGATTTTTAGATCTATTACACCATTTAACTAAAAGAATGTTTATATGACTCACTGCACAAAGTTTAAATACATGAGGCAATTTTGATTGTTAACTCCCTGAACTTGCTGGCAGAGCAAAGTGAGACCAAGACATTTCTAAACAGTGTGCTCTGGTATTGTTATCTACTATAAGGCACTTTCTGTCTTATCAGCTGCTGCAGTCATCTTCTTAGCTCCATAAAACCTGCTCACTAGCATGGGTCATTTTTGTTTATTTGGAATTGAAGAACATTAAGTATTAGCTGGTTACTAGTTAGGTCTGTTTCTCAAAGTTAAATAAGAGGGAACTTTAGTGATAAAGTCTGTCCTCAAGAAAAAGTTTGCTTAACCCATTCATTCTGTTTCCCAGATATATTTTTATTTAAAATATATTATAGCTATCTATTATAGAAATATGAACAGTAAAAACAAGAAAATGTTCCAATCTTAATTTTCCACATAACTACTCAATTATTTTAAAGTATTTCTTTACAGATTTTTAAATGAAAACTTGCACATGGTTCAAAATGAAGTTTTGCATTCCGTTACTTTCCTTTATTATGTTGTTTTCTATGTTGCTTTATATCATATCAAATTGCTGCATCGTAAGGATATAAGAACATTTACTTAATTTTTACCCTTTTGTTGATTAAGTTGTACAGTATTCCTGTAAGCCTAGTTGTAAAGTTAATTCTACACTTGCTTCTTACATTTTTGGGTGTGTCTTTCTCATGTTACAAAACCCCAGCGAGTTTCTCTTCAATTTGTTGAAAGAGAAGTCTAACTTACATATTAGCATTTGGAAAAAGTGCTGCATTTATTTTTGGTTAGCTTTAAAAATATGCACATGATAAAATTATTCCAAGATATATGTTAGTGTTGCAGTGCTGCAATTGTGATTCAATTCTGTCGTGGGACCCATACACATACCCAGACCCACCCAGTATATTCATTCTATCAGCATAAGTCCTATCAGGCAGGAAAGTTAATTCTGCTTTGGGGGATAGGGTAGAATTATGATAACCAAGATAACCAGGGTATTTTTCCCATGCTTTCTTAGGTGAAAGACTAAGCTGTTCTAGGGAAAACTTGCAAATGTAAAGAATCTAAATCTAGATAGAATATACAATCCGCCTTTTAAGGGTGTAAGGACTAGTTAACATTTATCTTTTGGCCTCTTTCAACCATCTCCCTCCACGCTTTCCTCTTTTTTCCTCTTCACTAGCTACTTTCCATCTGCTGACTCCTTACCCTGGCTATTAATATTTTTAGGAAAATTGAGGGCTTGGCACAGGTGAGTTCCCACTCTCAGTCATGATCCTACTACTGCCAGGCCTGGCTCAGGCTTTCTCTGCTTTGAGGCAGGTCTAAATTCAGCCAGTTGATGCTTTTGCTATTTTTTCAGAAGTGGCCAACTACTAGGGATATCAGGAGTAGGGCCAACATAGAGTTGGGGTGTTATTCTGGAGATGGATAGCAAAGACACCTCTTCATCTTATCAGTATCCAATCATGAGAACAGAGGTTTGACCCCAGACCTCATGAAACTAGTCTTAGATTTTAAACTGAGACCAAGACTGTGGCCTTGGAAGTGTTTTATTAACAAATTAAGAAAATTTTGATTTTAAAAGCTACTTATTCTTTAAAAATAATTTAAATAAAAAAAGATCAAACATAAATTTGTTAACTATGTAAGAATGCAAGAAATGCCCTACTATCTGCCAAACTGATAGTCTATCCAGCGCAAAGTTCTGCCTCTGATATTGTTATCACATGAACACTAGATGTCTGTCAGCAGGTGAACTTCAATAAGACCCACCCTCAAAACCTGCAAATTAAAAAACCAAAAATGGTTTTACATTTATAGCTTATAGAAAATAATAATCTTTTCACCTACTAGTAATCTCTTGACCTACTTTCCCCTTCAATTATTGAACCAATTCTTTGCTCCTCTTTTCAGCAAAACTTCTCACTGGAGTTGACACTTACTTTCTTCAGTTTCTCTCCTCTCATTTTATCTTGTTTATTTTTAATTTTTATGTATTTAATTTTATTTTTTTTAGAGACAGGGTCTCACTCTGTCACCCAAGCTGGAGTGCAGTGACACAATCACTACAGCTCACTGCAGCCCACCGCAGCCTTGAACTCTCGAGCTCAAGCAAACCTCCCACCTCAGCCTCAGAAATAGCTGAGACTACAGGCACGTGCTACCACGTCCAGCTAATTTTTTTAATTTTTGTTTTTGAAATTTTTAGTAGAGATTGGATCTTGCTATATTGGTCAGCCTGGCATCAAGCAATCCTCCCAACCTCGGCCTCCCAAAGTGCTGGGATTATAGGCATGAGCCCCCATGCCTGGCCCTCTCTCATTTTATCTCATACACACTTTAGCCATCCTTTTAACCCCAGAACTCCCCTGAAACTGCTTTTGTCAAGGCCACTGATGACATCTAGATTAAAAAATCTCATGCCACTTCTCAATCATTTTCTTAAAAGTTTAGCAGCTACATTTGGCCCAGTTTTTCACCCTTCTTCATGAAACGTTTCTTCATTTGTTTTCCAGGATACAATATTTTCTTGTTTTTTTGTCCTACCTGACAATATTGCTGGTTCCTCTTCATCTCTCAGACTCCATCTGTAAGATCCCCTAGACTTTTTCACTGTACTCCCTCCCTCGGTCATCTCAGTCAGTCTCAAGGCTTTAATACCATCTATCCATTTATGACTCCTAGTTTCATACCTCCAGCCCAGTCTTCTTTTATTTTTCAGGCTCAACTACTCTCTTGGAAGAATAATATATAATTCAAAATTAATATATCCAAAGCCAAACTCCTGTTATTCCCCCTCAAAACCTCCTCCTCTCACAATCTTCATTATTTAATAATTGACAACTTTATCTTTCAAGTGATTCAGTCAAAACCTTTGAAGTCATCCTTGATTACTCTGCTTATTCCATTCACTAAGTCCAAATTTGTCAACAAACCATTCAGTTTTATCTTTAAAATTTATTCAGAAATACACCACTTCTCATTACCACTACCACTACTACCTGGTTTTAGCCATAACCATACCCTACCTTTCCTCTAGCAAGAATGGTCCAGATGAAATCACTCAGATAAGAAAGATAATATGTCAGGTAATATTACACCTCTATTGAAAACCCACAATGGCTCTCCATCTTCCTCAGAGAAAGTCCAAATTCTTACAATGGTTTAAAAAATCATCTACTTTATCTAGCTCATCCCACTCTTGCAAGACTTCATGCTGCTTCTAGAACTCACTTGGTACAGAAATTTACACTTATTGCTCCCTAGCCTAAAATATTCTTCTAGAGAGCCACATGGCTCCCTCCTCCCTCTCTTCCAGGCTTTGTCACCTCTAGGGAAAGCTTTCTTTGATTACTATTTAAAATGTACACCTCCAAACATCATATCCCTTTCTATTTCTACTTTATCTTTGACCGTATGCCATGGTATATATTTTACCTATTTGTCTCCACCCAATTAAGCTCTATCAGTATAAGGGCTCTCTTTCATTCATTACTGCATCCTCACAGCTCAGCAAAGTACTAGGCACTTACCAGGCACTTGATAAATATTTGTTGACTGTGTATGTAAATAAATGAAAGATATAGACAAGAAGTTAGGAGTTTATCACAATAGGCCAAGGTGAGAAATTATAGTGGCTTGAACCAGGGTGGTAGCAGTGGACATACTGATACATTGCAGAGATAAAGAAAACACGAGTATTGGGATTCCTGTTATTTCTATTTTTCTCATCATACGAGTAACAAATCCACATTGTAGTTGAATGTATCAGTATTGAGAGTTCATTAATGTGAGGCTTCCCGCCAAGGACGTGACCTACCTTCTACATGCCAGTAAAGATCTGCTTCTCAACCTAGAGAACTGAGGACCAGACCTTAAACTGGGATTGCCATATAAAATACAAGACATCCAGATAAATTTGAATTTCAGACAAACAAGGAATGAAATAAAAAGTGTGTTCCAAATATTGCCCAAGGCATAATTATACTAAGTTTACTAAGAGTATATATGTAATTGTATGTAAATATGTGTGAATTTGTGTGTATCTGTTGTTTATTTCAAATTCAAACTGTGAGTGTGCTTTTTGTGTTTGTTATTTGGCTAAAGATGGTAACTCTAACCTGGATTACTGTAAATTCTCTGAACTAAAAAAACATTACTTTGTGTCTTCCTTGGGAAAGATATGTTAGCTTTCTGTTGGTAAGAATAAATCAAATGAGTCTGATTTTTCTCTTTAACTTCTACTTTACTTTTCATTGATAGGGGCTATGAAAGATCAAAGCCATATAATCAGAGCCAGAATTCAATTGTCTTTAAATTCAGTTGCTATACTTTTCTCATTGAATACTACTTTTCAGCCAATAACAATATCAGGATGGAAAAAATATCTGTAACTTAGTTAATGCTACTTTGCATACATCTAGTAAATTTCAATTTGTTTTATAATTCCTTTCTGCCATCTGATTAAATATCATACAATGTGGTATATTCAACTAAGTGTTTGTCTAACAGAGTGGTCCCCCAGTACTCACTCAGCCTAGGGTCAACTTTTCAGCAGATGGTGGTCAGGTCTAAACTCTGCCTTTCCCCCGACTCTCTTAAGTTGACGTGATGTACAAATCATGTATTACCTATGATTGTATAATACTGAATGGGGACAGCTGACGATGGACTCCTTCTCTATACCAGTGCATTCTCCCTGTTCCTTTAACTCCTACATTATAACAGAGCACAGGAATAGCTAGCAAGTGAAGAAAAGTTACAGAGGAAGGAAAAGAAGAGCAGTCTTGATACTAGCATAAACGAGAAGAAAAAGAAGACTTCAAAGCAGAGAGTGGCTGGTATAGAACCTTTCTTAATGTTTTTAATATATGTTACTCACTCTGATTTTAAACTTTCATGTCCCCTACTGAATTTAGCATTTAATTATATACCATCTTCTTTTTATTCCTTCTCTATTCAACAAGATTGACTTCTTGAAATCAGAATATCTATTCATTCACTTCTACCTATCTCAAATTAAATATCTTCTATCAAAATACTTATTGATTTATTGATGAGGTACCTGGAAATAATGGAGGTAAAAATTTACTAAATGAACAAGGGGGGAGTGTGACTAGTGTTAGAGCACAGGAATTGGAGACTAGTGATGTATAGCTAATGACACAGTTGAGTCAGTGTCAACCCTGGACTATAATAAAAAGAATCAGATAACATAATTCCATGCACGAAGTAAGTATTCAACAAATGTTTATTAATTAATATATTAATAAATTAAACTCAAACAACTGTTCACTCTTAATTAAGCCCATGCTCACTAATACCAATATCCATTTTAGAGTCATTCTAAAAATGAAATCACTCCTTTTGTTTTTTCCAGTCTCTTGTTTTGGCCATATAAAAAAGCTTCATACAAAGCAGTTGGAAAACATGTGATCCCTGTTAAGCTTGGCAACAGCATTACATCAAAAGCCATTAGTAGCAATAAAAAATTTTTAATTGTTGTTATATATTGGCAGAAGCTGAAAGTTCATAAAAGTACGTGAAAATAATAATTAAAAATACTGTGAGACCAGAACCAGAACATAGAATTGTCTTAGTTGCATTTTGGAATATTCACCATAACTTAGCGTTTCCTAAAGAACACTGGGCCACAATTATCAGTTATCACCATGTGCCAGAGATACAGTTATGGATTCAAATTAAAATAGTAAGAGACATGGGATTAAATGGGAAATCTAGCAGTAACCACAGACATTTCATTGTATCTTTCATATTTGCTGAACATTAGGTCATTTCACCTTTTTTATTTTATTTATTTTATTTTTTGAGACGGAGTTTCACTCTGGTTGCCCATGCTGGAGTGCAACGGCGCAATCTTGCCTCACTGCAACTTCTGCCTCACAAGTTCAAGCGATTCTCCTGCCTTAGCCTCCCAAGTAGCTGGGATTACAGGCATCCACCACCATGCCTGGCTACTTTTTTTGTATTTTTAGTAGAGATGGGGTTTCACCACGGTGGCCCAGCTGGTCTCGAACTCCTGACCTCAGGTGATCAATCCGCCCACCCTGACCTCCCGAAGTGCTGGGATTACAGGCGTGAGCCACCATACCCAGCTTCATTTCACCTTTTTTAAAAGAAAAGTATTATAAATGTTTTGCAGCTGCATTTCTCTCAGCAAACAATGTGGCTAAGTTTTATAGAATTAGTGAAACAGAAGCTGTAACAGTCTTCATCCACATTGACCACTTACTATCTAGAAAATCTTCCTAATCACCATTGTTGTGTCCCTTACCTCATCGTCATGCTCAGATTGACCCGTCTCTATCTCATTGATGGATCTGCTTACGTATTCATTTTAAATTATTTGTGCAAATAGTACACATAGAGATATTCTTCATCTTCTACAATTTCATGCCAGAGGCTTTGGTAAGAATTTATTCTACTTTTTAAACAGCCAATGTCCACCACTAGAAAGTGGCATTCCTTCTATTATGACACAAGATCACTACTTTCTCCAAGTTCTGTGTGGCTTTTTGAGTATTTACTACCAGGCAACATTAAAAATGCATCTTTAATGTTATAGCAAAATGTGAAGCATTGTGAAGTGATTGCTTTCTCCATATTTCCTATTCCAAATAACATCCTAATTCTACATGAGCTGGGTGCGGGAAGTCTGACATCACACATTTTCAGACATTAGTCCTGCCTCCTCAGATTGTACACCACAGTTGTTTGTAATGGAATAACAACCACAACATTTATAAATCACTTTGCAGTTTACAATGCATATTGACATATATGCCATTCACACGAAAACAGATTAGTAATGTTCAGCTGAGTTCAGGATTCTGAAATAATCATTTATCACAAGTATAAAACGATTATGGAACAACTCAGATTTTAAAACAAGGAATAAATGGGGCGCATTGTGCAGCTATGCACTAACTCACCTGATCTGGGCCAGATTTCCATATTTTTATAGGTGGTCCCTTGGCATACCTCATGGATATGTTCTTAATTGGATGTTCCCATCAGAATTACCTGTAAAGCATATACAAATACAGAATCTTGGGCTCAACACCAGCTCTCTAGAGTTATGTTCTGTGTGCAGATAAGAGAGGATTGATTTCCCAATTTGGTACATTTTTACAAAGCTTAATTAGTTGATTCTGAGGCACATATTTGATGGTGGAATTTTGCACTTGCAACGTTTTATTTTATGGAAACAAACACTTTTTATATTTAAAAAAATGTAAGCCTAGGGCAAACTAGTTGACATCTATTCTTTAGAAGTAGCTGATAAATAACAGGAAATAGACTGAATTCAACAGCATGGTGAAACTAGCCATGGGATAGAATGAACTTATTTGCTATTTTTATTAGTGATACCTGTTTCAGTCTTGATATTAAATACTTTTATAAAAGTACATAAGCCTCAATCAATCACATTTACTGGCTAATTTTGACTTTCTCAGTCCCTCCTTTCTTTGCATTCTTTTTAAGTATTTTTTTATTGAACCTGAAATATGAGAAGGAGAGAGAGAGAGAGACATTCAGAACTTTCCGATAAGAATTACCCTAAAAAACCTCTAATGTGTAGTCGTTTGGAGAAGTCTTATCCCGTCCTTGAGTGACTTAATAAATGCTTTTTCCCTCTAAATATTGATATCATTCAAGGTGAATGAATGTGACCATGCTTATCTATTTCAAGCCCTATATATATTTAGTTTTACTGTAAACATTAGTAGATATTGTAGCTGTATATGATGATACTCCTTGTTTTTCATTGGAATAGTAGAATTCACATACATACAAATAATGAACTGGCTGCTAAATCCAAAATATTTTTGATTTGCAAAACCCTTAGACAGGAAGGTCTTAAAAATTTATAAAACAATTATCTCATTGAGACAGCAATTCCTTTGGTTGCCCAGGCTGGAGTGCAGTGACGCAATCATGGCTCACTGCAGCCTCGACCTCCTAGGTTCAAGCAATCCTCCCACCTCAGCCTCCTGAGTAGCTGGGACCACAGGCACGCAACACCACACCAGGCTAATTTTTCTATTTTTTATAGAGACAAGGTTTGACCATGTTGTCCAGGCTGGTCTCAAACTCCTGAATTCAAGGGATTCTCCCTCCTTGGCATCCTAAAGTGCTGGGATTACAGGCGTGAGCCACCATGCCCAGCACAGAGTGGTGAACTTTATGGACAAGTTTACTTGCGGCATGGAACACTGATGCCATATTGGACAACTGAGGCCACAGGAAGCCACCTTCCACCTTGTACTCCAGGTCTTCCTACAGATACACACACACCCCACTCTCAGTAGAAGTATGTTACCACAGTATTTCAGATAAATTTACACATCAGCTTACAAATGTTTTCCACTTCCTAGTAAAATAATTATTTTATTTTTTCTCTTTTACTGACTGTCACCTCCTTCATCAATATGCAGTTATTTTCTGCTAGTTTTCCACATCACAGGGCTTAACCTCCCTCACCAAAATGACTGTCTCTGGCACTCAGATTTGGCACTTGTTTTTCTTCTTCTTTAACTCTGCTTCAGGCACCTTTATCTATGTTCTCATAATCCCCCAGAGACTTCTTTCTTTCCTGCCAAGAGAAGGGATAATTCACAGCACAAATGTCTACTTCAGTTTTCTTCCTACCCTATCAGTACTAGGAGGATAGAGCTATTTCCAGCAAAGCTTGTTTCTTCATTTTTCTTTTCTTTCCTGAGGTGCAAAATAAAAGAGTAAGAAGAAAAGACAAGTGATGCTTCTTCCAGATGTGGGACAGAACCAAAACTGGTCTCAATATAACTGAGGTTCAATAGACACTCTCTTTTATAGATAAAATTAAGGTTATTTCTAAGCAACAGCCTCCAAATATTTTGATTAACTATTATAGAAACAAGGAACATTAGATCCCAAATGATCATAAGCATCATCTTTAAACTTCACATCTTATATGAAAACAAATTTTGACTTAGTGCCCCTAAAGCAACTAGTAACACAGTTTTCATTTTGCCAAATACAATATTATATTTATTCTTTTTTGTTTACCCAAAATAAAGTATTGGTTTATAAATCACTTTGCGTTACAGAATCCTAACAGTAATCATTGCCTAGTTTGCTAGTAGCCATCAGATGATCAGTGGAGGAGATTAGTGAATCCAGAAACATATCTATGCACTGTACATACAGAGGTTTAATAACAGTCAAGATGGTAAGGATATTTCAGAAAGATAGTTTATTAATAATTGATGAATATAACAACTGGATAACTAATCCAAAATTATAGAGTTGCTTCCATACCTCTTACATCAAAATTAATTTTGACTCAATCACTGGAAATAAAAATGTAAAAGTAAATGAAAATATAAAAGTAGCAGAAGCAGCCATGGCAAGGTATTAAAAAGAAATCTCCTGACTAGGGATGGTCTTTCTATATGACACATATCCTGAAGCCATAAAGCAAAAAAGAATTGAAATTTTAATTATATTACATTCAGTAATAATAGCTATATTAAAGATTCAATAAAAGCAAGGTTAAAATCAAATCAAAAAATGGAGGTATAAATATTTGCAAGTCACATTACAGACAAAGGGGCTAATTTCCCCATATATTAAAAGACAATAAGAATAACAATGGTACAGTAAAAACCTGGAAAATACTAGAAATGGTTTACAGAAAAGTATTAAAAATAACTTCAATATATTTTCACATATGCAACTTTGCTCTTATTCAAAGAAATGAACATGAAAATTTTAAGACTATCCCATTTTCACTTCTCTGTTTGGCAAAGGTCTAAATGTTTGTTAACAAAATTGTGTTGATGGGTGATATGATTTGGCTGTGTCCCCACCCAAATCTCATCTTGAATTGTAGCTCCCATAATTTCCACATATTGTTGGAGGGACCTTGTGGGAGATAACTGGATCAGAGGGACAGTTTCCCCCGTACTGTTCTCATGGTAGTGAGTAAGTCTCATGATAATTGATGGTTTTATAAACGGAAATCCCTTTCACTTGGTTCTCATTCTCTCTTTTCTGTTGCCCCGTAAGACGTGGATTTTGCCTTCCACCATGATTGTGAGGCCTCCCCAGCCACATGGAACTGTGAGACCGTTAAACCTCTTTTTCTTTATAAATTACCCAGTCTCAGGTATGTCTTTATCAGCAACCATGAAAACTGACTAATACAGTGGTGTTGTGAAAAAAGAGGTACTCTAATTTATTTGGAGGGGGTGTAAAAATTTTTACAATAGCCATGGATAAGTTGTCACGAATTAAACCCCAAGTAAAAGACCTCATACTTGAAAAGACCTTAGAGTCTTTATTACAGTACTCTACTTTCAGGAATTTATGCTAATATTACTCATTACACGTTAGTAAAATTTTATTCATTTAAGACTATTAATTGAAGCACTGTGTTGAACTGGCAAAAATTTGGAAAGTACCCTATATGTTCAGCAATATGACTGATGAAGTACATTTGGATAGGTCCTTAAAATGGAATAATAAGCAGATTAAGTGACAAAAATAGCAAGGCATTAAGCAGTGCTCATGCTGCATTTCATGTGTCTGTATGTAGCATGCTACCACCTGCATATAAGAATGTTTCTATCTGTGCATGCATTTGCTTGATATGCACACAATATCTCTGGAAATATGTAGTAGTTTGTTCATGGAAAGGGTCTGGATGGATGGCAGACAAGCATATGCTTTTTCTACCTTTTCAATTTCATCAACTTTTTAATTTAAGATGTACATTAAGTCAAATTACAAAACTGAAAATTTTCAGTAGCATAATCATATTTTTGTAAATATTTTACCTAATAAAGGTTTACCTAATAAAGGTTTTCATATTTGTAGCTCATTTAACATAAGAATTCTTAATATAGAGATAACATATAAAGTAATTTTTTAATTAATTTCAGTTAAGTTCTAGTAAGGGGTCTCTGGGACCATTACTTCCTCCGGAACTTAGGACCTTCCAGGCAAATGACATTTTCTAATGAAATTTTTATATGTGGTTTTCAAGTCATTCCCCTAATAATTAAAACCTGTGTGCCTCAGATATAAAGTTGATTAGTGAAAACTCCTTATACTACTATTGCTTGTATTTAGACATGAATAATATATTTGTAATAATAGTGTAGGGTAAATATTTGGCTATGATTTCTTTTTGTTTAAGATTAGTGGGTTATATTTGCTTGAGAATTAGGCAGAAATAACTGGTCTCCCTATTTCCGCTTAGGCAGCCTGAATACTAAATACCTGGTAATTATAGTCTACCCCCTCTTTGTATGGACCCTGATTAAGAGTCAGATTCAACCCCACTGGCCTTATAAGAGAACTGGGCCATGACAGGCAGGGACATGTTGGTGAATTCTCTCTGAGTTAGAGAGGAACAACCAGACAAATACTCACTTGTGCTATTTCTGCATATTAAGGACCACTGATAGAATTTTTTCCTTGGTCTGATAAGAAAAGATTCCACTTTCTGAGGACAATACACACCACCCCTTCCCAGCAGTCTGTGTAAATCCTAATCTTCTTGGAGTGAGAAAAATCATTAAATTCTACCATCTCTCTTTGTCCAGGAACCTCCACTTTTCCTCTCTACTGATCTTGGGAGGAACAGGAGATGACAAGAAAGTTAGCTTTTGTTTTTATTCATATACTGGGTCCATGAAACTGTATGAATAGTTGCTTCATATAAAGGGGAGAAAACCTATTTGGTTTTATATCTGAATCTGCAAAATTAGTTTCACTTGAAACTTAAATATACTTGCATCATTCTTTTCCTTTAGCCAAAAACTGAGGTACCTCAATGAGATCATGTTCAGAATAGGAGTTCAATTTTTGTTGAATTGAACAGTGTACTTGAGACCAGGCAGATGATGCTTATGTCATTATAATTTCTACCCAAACAGAAGACTGGCAGTATAAAACATAAAACCTCCTCTCTAGGATTTCAATCATTCTCTTTCATAAAGACAAAATAATCTCTCATTAAAGTGAAGCTCATTTATATTCATGTAGAGATAATATGCAACCCTCCCCTCCCCCTCAAAAAAGACTAGCTCTGTATGATTGCAGTAACATCTAATCAGTTACAATTTGTGTGGTTTCTTTTTTTCCCTTTTTTCCAGAAAGCTAACTACATTTACATGATCAGCATGATACATATCAAAATACTTGTTAATGTGAACTCAATTTGAATGATACCAGGGGTTTTACGTTTACTGGAGCTGATTTACCAGGTAGAAGTGCTTGATTATTTTCCCCCTTGCCAAGATTAAAAAAAAAATTGGAATTTAGGAGATAGTGATAAGTTTAATTAAAGTGGAACTTTAAAAAAGTATTTTAAAAGGGTTATTTTAAGATGCCTAAATTTCAGTAAGTCATACAAAATAATTATGGAAGCTAAAGGAATTTTCAAACTTTACAAATGTTCACTTGGTGTCTTCATTCTTCTTTTTTATGTCCTTAAGTCTGATTCCAGAATTTAAGTTCTTTTTGAAATTTGAAAGTAAATATTTGAATTTACTTGTTCTCCCACTTTAAGTTTTTTGAACTAACACTGAGAGAAATAAACTTAAAGCATATTGAAGACACTGCATTTTTAAGGTCTCTTTATAACAGCAGCTTAGCCTCTGACCTACATGATTTATTGTAGATTCATTGTACTTGATGCAACTGATCAGAAATCATAGTCAGCATTAGCAATATAACTAAATGGCTTTTGCTTTTCTATATGTTAATCAACTCTTCTGGCTTAGGTCTCAGGCCCAAGATTCTATTCTCACTCCTGTAATCCTGCCCATTTACTCAGAAGTGCAGGCAATACTGACATCCAAGGCAATTCTTGATACACTGCATATATGAATTTCTGTCTTCTACTTTTAAAATTTTTCTTTATTCTTTCTTTCTTGTTTCAACAGTATTCTGAATTAATTAATTAAAGTCTCATGGGCAGTATTTTTTATATACTGCGAACTTCAGGATAAAGATTCTGAAATACTTCCCTGCTTGAGAGGCTTTAACTTATTTTTTCATATGAATGTCCAATATGTTAAAAATATAGTGGTGGTAATAGTGATCATTCACAGCACCCATCAATGAAACAGGTTGCATTAGATGCATTGGATTTAATAGTCTAGTCTTTTTAGTCACCTTTAACATGGAGCAGGTCCATAGACCTCCTTGGTTCACCTGGCAAGATCTCTTTTTCATAAAAATCTTGAGACTCTCTGAGAGTTGTGCTTCTCTTTTGTACAAAAACATGTTTCAATTTACAACAAATTAATAAATATTTGTTACATGAATGAATAAATACAGAAACTTACATGGTTAATTTTACAGCAAATCAATAAATATTTGTTAAATAAATGAATAAAGACATAAATTTACATGGTTAATTTTATGAAGTTTTGCTAATTGGTCAGGAAAAAAAATTACTTTTCCACTGTCGTATATGATGACAGCCATCTTCCACCTTTCATTTACCACTTAGCAAATTATTTCTTATGCTGTAAGATTTTACTCTGTGAACACAGCTTCTTGAAGTTTAAATTTATTCTTAATGAGAAAATCTCAGTTAACATAACAGAAAGGCATTGCCTGAAGAAGCAGAGAAAAGATACTAATGTAAGTATCAAATAGATGTTATTGGCCCTATTGAAAAAGGTGAATATATAACCTATATTAATCTCATGCTTCCTAAGAATTGGACATTGGTAAAACTTTTTAAAATGTATATATTTTTCATAAATTATTTTTCAATTTAAGTGATATTACAAAGAAAGACATTTATATTTTCCTGAACCTCCTATAAAGTATCTTTTGTTTGCTTATTTTTTAATTTATAAGAGAAAACTAATTCCAAAGTAAATGTTTTTAATAACATTCCAATTTTTAGCAACTTATTTTTTCAAGATAGGCTTATTGACATTAACATTCTTCATATTGTTTGAAGTTTGAAAGCTCACATGATGCCCCTTGAATCCTAAGTATTTCAAAGTATATTTCTTAGGGATAAATATATTATCCTACCTATAATGCTATACTAATTTTAACTTTCAAAATTAGAAAGTTAACATTCGTGCAATAGTATCATCTAATCTAGAGATGTTATTCAAATTTTTCCAATTTTCCCAATAATGTCTCTTATTTTAAAAATCCTGTCTGATTCAATATTATTCATTAGATTTACTTATTCAGCCTTTTACTCCCTTTTAATATGGAGCAGTTCCACAAATTTTCTTTAACTTTCTCGACCTTGACATATCTGAATAGTATAGAGCAGTTATTTTATAAGTGTCTCTCAATTTGAGCATGTTTGATATTTCATCACTGTCAGATTGTCATATGCCCATCTGGAGTAATACTTAAGTGATGTTGTATTTTTCTCAGTGCATTACATAAGGAGGCACATTACATCAGTTTGAGCCATTATTGGACATGTTAATTTTGATTAATCATTTGCCTGCCAAATTTCTCCACTATAAAGTTATTACTTTTCTCTTTGTAAGTAATACGTGTTTTGTAGAGAGATACTTTGAAATACATAAATCTCTTATTCCTTAACAAGCTTTCACTCACTAGTTTGTGTCTGTTAATAATTATTACTATAGTGAAAGTTAAATGGTGATTTCTTCAACTATCATTTCTTCTAAATTTATTAGTCAGCATTCTACTGTAAGGAAGAGGTTTTCTTTTCTTTTCCCCCCATTTTTTCATTCACTTATATCAGTATGGACTCATGGATTTTTATTTTCCTTAATGAGTTATAATCCATTATTATCACTGTTTTGAAGTTCAATGTATCCCAGCTTTGGCCAGTGGCATCCCCTTCAAGCAGCCCCTAAGGCCTTTTGACATGTCTCTGTCATTTTTTGATTACATCCGTATATTAAGGCACAGGATATTCCAGATCCATATTGTACTTTCTTTTCTGAGCCAGCCTGGAATCAGCCATTTTTCCAAGAAGTCTTGGATCCTTTAATTTAGACACCAAGATATGGTTGGTTCATTGTTACTGGAGAGGCATTGATTTCAGGATCTCTCAACAGAGGGAGCTAGCAATTCTATACTGGTTTCCCTGTCTTGCTCACTCTTGTTCTCTTTTCCTCTCTCCCTCCCTTCCTGCCTCCCTCTCACTCATTCTCTATGTGTGCCTCTGAGAGTGTGTGTGCATGTGTTTGTGCAATATAGTTATATCTATTATTTCTACTTCATCTATCTATATATCTAATCCCTCCCTCCTCTCCTTCCTTCCTTCCTTTCCTTCCTTCCTTCTTTCTCTCTTCTCTTTCTTCCTTTCTTTCCTTTCTTTCTTTCTTTCTTTCTCTTTCTTTCTTTTCTTTCTTCTTTCTTTTTCTTTCTTTCTTCTTTCTTTTTCTCTCTTTGCCATGAGTACATGTCAGTACCATCAATTCTAACCCAATACCAGAGAATTTATTCTAGCCCTCCTTCTTTCCATATTTCTAAGAGTAAGAAACCTGACTCCAATTATCCTCAAAATATTTATTTGTTTGTTCAATTCACTGAAACTGCCAACCATTCCCACTGCAAAGTCAAACTTACTGACTAGAGTTCAATATTTTCTTACATTTCTCTCTGTTAGTAGCCTAAGAGTACATGTTCAAAATATGTTCTTCAGCTTTACTTGAGTTAGTTTTGGCTCTTTTTCCACCCCTTCAATGTGGTTATATTATTGTTGACATATTATTACTATTGTGGTGGTGATGGCTATTGTTTAATATGTAAAACATTAGTGTGGTTTCAGGAATTCTCATGCTAAAAGGGAATGCTCGGAGAATTATTTCTTGCACTCCTCACTTTCACTCATTCTTAGCCCCAATTCCTTTCATCCTGTTTTATTTTTACCCCGTATACTTTCTGCCATGTTTCAAAGCTTCCTTTTTTACATAATCAATCTTATGAATTTGTTTGATCATTCCAGTCTCTTTAAAAAAAAGTCTTCTCTCTCTTTCTCTAAATATATGATATATATATTTATGTGTCTGTGTGTGATATCTCCCCTCCTTTTTTACACGAAATTTGCTTCCTATAGGTACTTTTTTTAACACTTTATTTTTTTTAGAGCAGTTTAAGGTTCACAGCAGAATTGAGAGGAAGGTACAAAGATGTCCCATATGCTCCCTGCCCCCTGCCCCCACATGCATACCTTTCCATTATCAATATTCCCCTCTGGAGTGATACATTTGTTCAATTGATGAACCTACAATGATATGTCATAATCACCCAATGTCTATAGTTTACATTAGGTTTCACTCTTGGTGTTGTACATTCTATGGGTTTGGATAAATGTGTAATGACATATATCTATTGTTATAAGATTATACAGAATATTTTCATTGCCCTAAAAATCCTCTGTGTTCCTCCTAGTCATGCCTTCCCTCTCCCAACCCCTGGCAGTTACTAACTTTTTTACCGTCTCCATAGTTTTGGCTTTCCCATATTATATAGGTGGAATCATGCAGCCCCTCTAAATTGGCTTCGTTCACTTTTTAATACACATTTAAGATTCCTCCATGTCTTTTTATAGCTTGATAGCCCATTTTGTTTAGCACTGAATAAATCCATTATCTGGATTCACCACACACAGTATTTTGTATTTTGTTAAAAAATCTATTTACCTACTGAAGGACATCTTGGTTGCTTCTGACTTTTGGCAATTATGAGCAAAACTGCTATAAATTTTTGGTGTGCAGGTTTTTGTGTGAATGTAAGTTTTCAACTCTTTTGTGTAAATACCAAGGTGTGTGATTGCTGGATCATATAGTAAAAGTAATTTAGTTTTGTAAGAAATTGCCAGACTGTGTTCCAGGGTAGCTGTACCACTTTCCATTCCCACCGATGATAAAAGAAAGGTCATTACTCCACATGCTTGCCAGTATTTGGTGTATTTGGTGTTCTGGATATTCGCCACTCTAATAGGTGTATAATGGTATCTCATTGTTGTTTTAATTTGCAATTTCCTAATGGCATTTAATGTGAAGCATGTTTTCATATGCTTATTTGTCATCTGCATATTTCCTGTTAAGTCTTAATTTTTTAATTAGATTGTTTTCTTCTTGGTGCATTTAAAGAGTTCTTTGTATATTTTAGGTAACAGTCTTTTATCGGCTGTGTCTTTTGCAAATATTTTCTCCCAGTCTACGGATTGTCTTCTATTCTCTTGACATATTTTACACGGCAAAATATTTTATTTTAACGAGGTCCAGCATATCAATTTTTTTTCATGAATTGTACCTTTGGTGTTGTACCTAAAAAGTCATCACTATACTCAAGGTCATCAAGGCCTCTTTCTATGTTATTTTCTAAGAGTTTTATAGTTTTATACTTTACAGTGAGGTCTATGATTCATTTTGAATTTTTTTTATGAAGAGTATAAAGCCTATGTCTAGATTCCTACTTTGGCATGTAGTTGTACAGTTGTTCCAGCACTATTTGTTAAAAAAGATTACATTAGCTTCATTATAGTGCCTTTGCTCCTGTGTCAAATATCAGTTGACCACATGTGTGTGGGCCTATTTCAGGGCTTTCTATTCTGTTCCATTGATTGCCAATACCACACTGTCTTGATTATTTTAGCTTTATATAGTAAGTTTTCAAGTTGGGTATTGTCAGCCTTCCAACTTTGTTCTCTTTCAATACTGTGTTGGTTATTATGGGTCTTTTGCTTCTCCATATGAACGTTTGAATAAATTTATAGATATTCACAAAATAATTTGCTGGGATTTTGGTTGACAATGTGTTGTATCTATACATCAAGGTGGGAAGTACTGACATCCTAACAATTTTGAGTCTTCCTATCCATGGACATGAAATATCTCTTCATTTATTTAAATCTTCTTTGATTTTATTCATAA
This sequence comes from Homo sapiens, assembly GCF_000001405.40. Lineage (NCBI taxonomy): Eukaryota > Metazoa > Chordata > Mammalia > Primates > Hominidae > Homo > Homo sapiens. Next base: position 93,123,150 of record NC_000006.12, read on the forward strand.
ATTAACATAAGAATATATGGTTCAACTGCAAAAAATACAAATACAAATAAAAAGACAAAACATACATACTTCTAAATAAATTTTGTCTTTTTTATCCTTCTAATGATGTATTTATTTATTGCTTATATGCATTTCCTTTAGTAAACTATCTTTAATTCCATTTGAAAGTGGCTCAGTAGAAATAGAATACATAAATAAAGATTATTTTTAATCAGCTTGTCACTATTCAGACTCTTTCTATCAATAACTCTATCAATAAAATAACTCTTTCTCTCAATAACTAGATGTTATTGTTCTGTTATATATCACTGAAAAAGATACAAACCTAAAACTTCATATTTTAAAGCAATAATATTATCTCTCACAGTTCTGTGGGTTTACTGGGCCCATCAGGATTGTTCTGCTGTTCTTACTTGGGACTTTATGGGGTGGCATGCAGATGTTAGCTGGGGGTAAAGTCCTGTGGACTTTCATCTAGAATGCTTGGGTGATAGGGCCAATCTCTCTCTCAATATAGTCTCAGGGACTCTTTTCAAGTGGTCTTTTCTCAGGGTAGCCAGACTCCTTATATGGTAATTCAAGGCTCCCAAAATGTGAAAGTAAAAGCTGTCAGGCCTTCTTAGGGCATAGCCCAGAATGGAAAATGTTACTGTCTCCATTTTCGATTAGTTAACACCAGTCACCCGCCCAGTTTAGATTGAGGGAGAAGAGACAATACAAAGACATAAACACCAGGAGGCATAGTTTATTGTGGTCCATCTTTGTTGTGCTCTTCAACATCCCATTTACATTCAGAAGTACAAAACAAAGAGCAGATAATTTCTCTTTACTTCTGCTATTTTCACAAAACAAAGCAATCTTCAAATGATTTCCCACTTCTTAAATGTGTCCTGGTTAACTATATGCTTCCTTTCTCTGATTTCTTACTTCCTAGAGTTGTTTAGATTGCCAGGGCCAATGGCCAAACCATGAACATTTACTGGCCAATATTTGTTTTCTGCAAAATGTATTTTAAATACAGTGGATGAATCCCAAAATTATGCCTTATTTTTGACTTTCTTTTTCTTTTTACTATGAATAGAAATTGTGTGAGAGTCAAAAGCCTTGACAGCTGGGAATCTGCTTGTTTGTTATTGTATCACTTGCCTTGTACATAGTAAGTGATAAAACATACTTGCTGTATTGAAAATTGAACGGATTCTACAGTGAAATCTTTATGTCCCATGTTTTCACTAGGTCCAGTGAGAAACTTGGCTTACGCAAGATGCTGCTTTCTCAATAACTGCATTCCTCCTTCCCTGTGGCACAAAAGCTATATTTATGTTGTGAGCTCCCCAGTCCTAGGCAACTTGGTGTAGAAAAACTGGAATGAGATCCTGCCTTCAGCTTGGAAGTCTATACCTGAAAAGTCTCAGCCTGAATATTTCCTTTTTGTTTTTAGCAATTACTATCAGAATTATTCTAATATGGAATACACTAGAACCTCCACCAACATATTCTCTTCTTGAGCCAACTTTGTTAAATTTAATTTCGTGATGATTAATTAAAGTAACAAAAAACTCCAAAAGAAAAATCAGTTTAGATTTTAGTTGACAATTTTTCTAAACCTTATTCTTTTTAATCAGTCACAATATTACAAAATTATTTTTTGAACAGTTAGTTGTACGATTCATTTTCAATCTAAAATCCTGCCTGCAGATTAAGAAGGTAGGTGTGTGCTGTAGCTAGATTTCATCTGATGGCTAAATTTTCAATATGTGTGCTACTAAATCTTGATCTGTGCTCTGTGACTCCTTTAAACTCTATCAATGGGGTGCCTTCCAGAAACTGAACTAGTACATTCTCTGCTGAACTTATCTCAGTAGGACTTTTCTCTATTGAATATTTGACAGCAGCCTTTCATTCAATGTGTGGGCATTTGTGTATTTTAGCAATTAGGAACTTGTAATATTTAATAATATGAAAAATAATTTAAAGTGATATTAACTTGGATTATAAGCTATATATGAGGTTTTTTTTTTGTTGTTGTTGTTGTTTTTTTTTAAGACCATCTTTTTTGTGTGAGTATAAGCAAGAGAAAGCAGTTATCTTCAACGAGGAGAAGGCACACTGCTCCATGGCTCATTTCTGTCCACACCAGCAGTCCTAGTAGTTAGCCTACCACAGGCCACATAAGCCTTCTCAGTCTTCTTTTATAGCCAAGTCAGCCACAAATAGGGCAGGAGCAAGAGTCAAAAATACACCTTGGGAAGTGAATACATATGGCATATTTCATCATTTGGAATATATTCATTTATAACTTTGAAAATTCCTTTATGTAGCTGTGTAACTAATCAGTGAGAATTATTTTACATACTTTAACTAGGTTCCAAGTATTACAATGCCGACCATTGGTACGAATTTTCAGATGACATATATCAATGTCTGAAAATTTGTAATTAATAGGAAAACTCCAAAGGAAGTCATGAGAGCCTAGTTACATCAGACAGTCTACACACACACACACACACACACACACACACACCTTATGTAATTTATAATTTTTAGCTTTATTCATCTTGAACTTTATTCCTATCGACTTTGCTGAGGAGTTTCTTTTCTTTTTTTCTTTTTTTTTTTCTCTTCCTTTCCAGGCTAATTTGATCTTCAAAGCCTCCCTGACAGCTTTATCCTGTTCTTTGACTCTGGCTAGGCCCCTGAACCCACTCAATTAATTACACGAGAGAGTAATTTTCCTTTTGTCAGCAAGATCTTGCTTCTTACCAACATTTCTCTAGCTAACTTTTCCTTTGGCTGAATTCTATTTCATTGTCTTAATAACTAAACAAAGAAGAATAAGAGAAAAAACAACACTCAAAGAAAAAATGAAAATTATTACTAATTAATATTTTCTATATTCTTAGAATGCTTTGGATTTACTGATCAAACTAATTTATGTTGCATTAGTTTACATTAAGTTATACCAAATGCATGCTAGTAATGGTGAAAATAAATATTTGCATAAGTAACTGTAATTGAAAGAAAAACAAAGTGTCATACTCTTATAAGAACGTAGCCAATTTTTATATACTGCTTTTTATTTGTTAAGCACAGATCTATGGGTTTTACTTTTATTAAGTCATTTAACTCTCAAAACAGTCCCCTGAAGTAGTTTTACCATCCCCCTTTGCAGCTGAAGAAACTGAAGTGCAGAAAACTTAAGTCACTTGGTTGAGATCATACAGGAAGAACCGAGAGCTGAACCTGTTTTAATAGTCCATAACCTTAACCTTTAGAGAAAGGTCACTACCAGCATATCTTGGAGATATTGCTGGTTCAGTTCCTAACCACCTCAATAAAGTTACTATCACAGTAATGCAAGCGATATTAATATTTTGGTTTCCCAATGCATACAAAAGTTATATTTACACTATCCTGTGGTCTATTGAGTATGCAATAACATCAGGTCTTTAAAAACAATTTACATACCTTAATTTTAAAAGACTGCTAAAAATGCTAATGAACATCTGAGACTTCAGCAAGTTGTAATCTTTTTGCCTGTGGAAAATCTTGCCTCAAGATTGATGGCTGCTAACTCATTAAGGTGGTGTTGCTAAAGGTTGAAGTGGCTGTGGCAATTTCTTAAAGTAAGACTACAATGCAGTTTGCCATATCAATGGACTCTTCCGCTTATGAGAGATTTCTCTGTAGTAAGTGATGCTGTTGAATAGCATTTTACCTGCAGTAGAACTTCCTTCAAAATTGAAGTCAATCCTCTCAAATCCTGCCACTGCTTTATCAACTAAGTTTATGTAAGCAATATTCTAAATATTTTGTTTTCATTTCAGCAATGTGCACAGTATCTTCTTCACTAGAAGTAGATTCATCTCAACAAACCACTTGCTTTGTTCAGTCACATACAGCAACATCTCGCCCATTCATGTTTTATCATGAGATTGTAGCAATTCAGTCAAATCGTTGGGCTCCACTTCTAATTCTACCTTACCTGCTATTTCCACTGCTATTACCTGCAGTTATTTCCTCCAGTAACATCTTGAACTACTCAAAGTCAATCATGAGAGATGAAATCAACTTTGTTCAAATTCCTGTTAATGTTGAAAATTTGACCTCCTCCCATTAATCACAAATGTTTTTAATGAGATCTAGAATGGTGAATTCTTTCCAAATGGTTTTCAATTTACATCACCCAGATCCATCAGAAGAATCACTATCTATGCAATCTTTAGCTCTTGGGAATGTATTTCTTAAATAATAAGACTTGAAAGGTGCAATTACTTCTTGATCCATGGACTGCAGAATGGATACTGTTTTAGTAGGCATGACGACAACTTCAATCTTCTTGTATATCGCCATCAGAGCTCTTGGGTGACCAAGTGCATTGCCAATGTGCAGTAATATTTAAAAAGTGATTTATCTTTTTTTTTCTGAGCAGTGGGTCTCAACGGTTGACTTAAAATATTCAGTAAACCATGCTGTAAGCAGATGTGGTGTTATACAGGCTTTGTGTTTGCATGTATAGAGCAAACACAGAGTAGATTTAGCATAATTCTTAAGGCCTCTAGGATTCACCATTTTGGAATGGTAAATGAGCATTGTTTTCAACTTCAAGTCACCAGCTGCCTTAACATCTCATAAGAGAGTCAGCCTGTCCTTTGAAGCTAGGCATTGACTTCTCCTCTCTAACTATGAAAGCCCTAGATGGCATCTTCTTTCAATAGTAGACTGTTTTGTCTTCATCAGTGATATTAACTAGATCTTCTGGATAACTTGGTGAAGCTTCTGCATCAGCACATGGTGTTTCGAATTGCACTTTTATGTTATGGAGGTGGCTTCTTTCCTTAAACCTCATGAACCAACCTCTGTTAGCTTCAATCATTTCTTCTGCAGCTTCCTCACCTCTCTCTGCCTTCAAAGAATTGAAGAACATTAGAGCCTTGCTCTGGATTAGGCTCTGCCATAAGGGAATGTTGTAACTGGCTTGATCTATGCAGACTACATAAACTTTCTCTATATCAGCAATAAGGCTGTTTTGCTTTTTTATCATTCATGTGTTCTCTGAACTCACACTTTTAATTTCCTTCAAGAACTTTTTTTTGGCATTCACAACTTGGCTAACTCTTTGACACAACAGATCTAGATTTCCACCTCCCATTTCAGTTTTCAACATGTTTTCCTCACTAAGCTTAATTATTTCTAGCTTTTGATTTAAAGGGAGATATGTGGGGCTCTTCCTTTCACTTAAACACTTACAGGTCATTTAGGGTTATTACTTGGCTGAATTTCAATATTGTTATGTCTCAGGGAATAAGGAGGCTTGAGTAGAGGGAAAGAAACAGGGTGGTTAGCCAGTGTAGCAGTCAGAACACACACATTTATTGATCAAGTTCATCATTTTATCTGGGTGCAGTTTGTGGCAAAACAATTACATTGGTATCATCAAAGATCACTGATCACAGATCACCATAGAAGATTTAATAGTACTAAAAGTTTTGAAATATTATAAGAATTACTAAAATTTGACATAGAGGCACAAAATGAGCACATGCTATTGGAAAAAATGGCGCTGATAGACTTGCTCAATGCAGGGTTGCCACAAACCTTCAATTTGAAAAACATGCAGTATCTGTGAAGCAAATAAAATAAGGTATGCCTGTATTGAGAAAGGTAGAGAACTAGCATTTGTTAAATGACACCAGCTATCCTGATAAATACTGTACATACATTGTCCCATTTACTCCTCCAAACAACTATATTATGGAATACTAATATTCTTATTTTGCAGAGAAAAAAACAGATTCTTATACTGTCAGAAAACTTTACCAAATTTGACAACTATTAAGATGCATAATTATGTTAAAATGTGGGTCTATTGCACTCAAGAGTTCCATTTTATTACACCTTGTAATATTGATGGGTTTTAAAGTGAGTATTAAAATAATCTGTACTCAGTATTTAAAAAAATGGATGTGTGCATTGGGTGCAGGAACCCTAAATGAAAAGAGAATAATGTACTGGGGTACATAAGAGTAGAGAACATCATAAATAGCATACTTTGTGTGCTTTTTCTAGTAGGTAGAGGAGTTACTGAATGGTTCCAAGGCGAGAGTAACCTGAAGAGATACGAACATTTTAGAAAGACAACTTGGGCATCAATATATAAGACTGATGGGAAAAGTGTGGTTTGAGATGTGCTAAAGATGTAATATTTTCAAGATTTGAACGCTAATTTGATGTAGGATGTAAGAGGAAATAAATTGTTTAGTCTAAGGCTCAGTTTTTTAACTGGTATACTGAGTAAAAAATGAGGCTGTGGACCAACATAGACATTTCAGGTAGGGAAGCAAGTTTGATACAAAAGAAGATGAATTCAGTCATGTAAATGTATTATTTTTGAGTACTTTTAGATCATCCAGTTGGAGATAGTCACAAATAGTTGGCTGTGTAGGTTTGGCTTTGAAGATTAAGATTTTGTAATTATCATCATAGAGGGGATAGTTGAAGTTATGGAATTGAATTAGTATCCTCAAGAAAAGAATGCAAAATAGTTTCTCTAAGTTAAATGCGGCAAAGTCTCAGTAAAGTCAAAGAGATATAAGCCAGATATTAATAGGTTCAAAATTAACCAGACAATGAGAAAAATGGAGATAGAAAGATTAGACCTTGGATGGAAGGTCAGAAAAAGGGTCAGGATAAGGGTTGAAATTTTGTCATTGTTGTTGTTCTTTTTAATGGTGATGGTGATGGTTCTTACTTTGCTTACTGTTATCATTTAAAGTAAAAACAATATCAGATTATTTATAAGGTTGGAGAAAGGGGCAAATACAGAATGAGATGTCAAAAACTGGGAAGATAGGGATACCTCACAAATGAAAGAAAACTGATGGGAAACTAAGTCAAAATGCAGGTGGAGGTCTGAGTCTTGAATGGGAAATTAAAAATTTCTTCATCTGAGGCTGGAAGAGAAAAGAGGGAGGCAATAGACGAAGAATGTTAGCTACGGAGGTAATAAATTGATACAGTTCAAATCACATATCTTTATTTTTCTTGGAACTATTGGAGGCAAATTTATATGCTGAAAGGTGCTAGAGTTGTTATATAATAAACTGATTATATAATAGAACATTAATTATATAAAACATAATTAGCAAGAGTCAAGGAAGTCACAACCCCATGGCATAAGTAATTTATCAAATGAAAGAGCAACCTCTGGTAATATGTACCTTCCAACTGAAGAAGGATTAGAGGGAGACCTCTTGAACTCAGAAGTATTTCAAATTTCCCACTATCTGACAATTAGTTTTAATTTTGTAGTGCAGGGAGTTTGAGATAATGAAGACAGAAATTGAAAACTACTTTTGGTCAATAAAGTATTGAAAAACGGTATATAAATGATGTGAGTTACTTTCTCTTTTGGGGGATACTTCACATTTGAATTCTCAGTAATTAAAAAAATATATATATAGGGAGGGGGGAGGGATAGCATTAGGAGATATAACTAATGCTAAATGACGAGTTAACAGGTGCAGCACACCAGCATGGCACATGTATACATATGTAACTAACCTGCACATTGTGCACATGTACCCTAAAACTTAAAGTATAATAATAAATATATATTTTATATATATACATATAGAGAGAGAGAGAGAGTGTGAGAGAGAGAGAGAGAGAGAGAGAGAGAGAGAGATAACCAAATACAGATAAATAGGTTTCTCACTCTGCCATATCCATATTACATTTCTCTAGGATCTTTTTTTTTTTTTTTTGAGATGCTCTAGTGTCTAGTATTAGAACCCTTAATCTAAGACTATTTATTATATTTTTTTCTGTAGAATGTATTCCAGAATATGCTACTCATTGGAAACGGTGATAGAAATTTGAAATTGCTCTGAGTTCATAATGAAGAATGACCAACATCTATTATTCATCAAATGAAATTCTCCACTAAACAAAATCCTGACCTTTGTGAAAGTGCTTCTTTAACTTTGTAACTAATGCAATAACCACATGACCTTTGGTGCTCAAAAACCCTTGAGTGGCTCTCTACAACTTCTGCAGATTCTTAAGAGTTGGGTACATGAAATAGCTATTTCTAGGTAAAGTCAACCAGGCCAGTGTGAAAATAAGGTTTGATAAATTATTTCTTCCAGTATTAGAGTTTAAATATGAATTTCTAGGATCTTCCTGATTTTCACCATTGTAGCAAATTTATATGCTTGTGTTAATTTGTGAGAATTTTAATCTGTACATTATCAATATGTAATTAAATTCTACTTGGTTGAATTAAATCTGTTAGATAATTTGGGACAGACATCAAATTTGAATGGCATTTTTACTAAGTTGATAGTTGTTTTACTGACATGGCTGGCATTGGATACAAACAAAATCTCCCTAGTGACTGTAAGATAATTTTTAATACATTGTACTTCATTTTGTGTCAAGCCAAATCTTATTTAACTAGCTATTGCATATCTAGTGACAACAGCAGGCATCATTTGAATTCAAAATCCAACATTGTCCCACACATGAAATACTTTATCCTTTACCTTTAACATAACTGTAGACTTTGGATCAAAACAAAACGTGCATATATGTAAAAATATTACAAATTTTTTTGTAAAGACTTTTTTAAGTAACTGAATAAATCACATAGAGCCAAAAAGAACTCTTTTACTGGAATTATTTGGTGAGTATACACAAATATGAAAATTTTATAAGAATTGAGACAAATTGGTTTTATATGCTTTCAGAGTAAATTTAGGAATAATACATGACTGACTCAAACTTGGTCATTGATGGCATACATCCTGAAGTTTAATTATTGTTATCATTTGGCTAGTCATAGAAGTTTTTTTTATGGTTTAACATTAGAATGTATGTGTGTTTATGTGTACATATATATATGTATGTATGTATATGTATACTTTCTTTGTTCCCATCTGCTACAGATTTCATTACACTACTCTTACCAAATAAAGAATCATATCAGCATGTATTACTTTACGAGTAGAGTCTCAATTTCTTCAAGACATATACTGAGAAAGAAAGGCAACTTAACAACAGGTATGTTGTACTCATTGTTTAGGATCACTTTAAAGCAAATCATTTCCTTGTCAACTCTTCTTTCTAGCACCTAAGTCATATCTGCAAATAGCTTCCATGATAACCATTTGCTTACATGTCCACTTGAAGAAAAATGCAAAACATTTTCCAGTTGCTTATTGGGAGACCCCAAAGTAGAAAGCAGAAGTATTTCTTTATCAAACTAGCCTGACTCCTATCTTTCCCATTAAAAAGACTTTTTAGGAATCCTATTTTTGTCCCTAATCAAATACTCAAGAAGTGGCCCTTCAGACATGTGCACGTACTTCCTTCCCTTGCTAAAACTTTCTCGCTAAAGCCATGAGTACACTGCTGACTTTTAGCTCAATAATCTTCTGCAAACTGCAACTCCCATTTGGTTGTTTTGGATTGATAGTAATCTCTCTGCACATGTATTCTAATATATACTGATGTGGTAGCCAGTGTTTCAAATGCCAGCGGAAATGCAATCTCTGCTAGAAGGAAGCACTTATGAACTGGCAAAGAATAAATGGCTGCCATCGGGAATAAGTGCTTGTCATATCAAAGCTTTGGCAAACATCTATGCTTAGAAGATTTAGTCTAATGAATTTCACCCACACCTACCAGATGTTATATCTAGAATTTTGCCAGGTGTTTGCACAAATATATATTGCCTGGAAAATCTTAGGAATAACTGACATTTAAGTTTGAAATTCATTAAAATTTTATTTTATTAAAAAGAACTGGCTTATTGAAATCTAAAAACATATTTATCTATGCTCACCATTGTATATTTTTGCCAAGTTGTCGCTGATATTTTAACACAGAACAGAATTCATTTGTTTTCTGATATTTTATACCAGAAATTCCTACTATGTCTATAGCAAATACAAAATGAAGAAAAAGCTGTGAATGATGGCACCCAGAAACTATCTCCTAAAGCATTATTTTTTTAATCCTAGGAGTTTCGAGTTACCTTTTTGATTGTCTTTTTAAACTTCTCTTTTTAGGAAAGGTCAGAAGTTGCTTAAATTAATATGGTCTTCCTCAATTAAAATGCTAAATTGGTTTCTTGGATGCAGTTTAACAGTATATCCGATAATTAGAAGAGGAAAGCGAAAGTAGACAGTCTTTTTAGGTGTTAACACCAGAGAAATTTTATCATCCAATAAAGAACAAAACCTGTCTAGAAAACACTTAAGCTGAATTACCTGTTGCCAACAGTTCAAAGAAATCAAAGCCGGATTAGTAGTAATGACAAAACAAACACGTTGCATTGTCTTAAGCATAAGTGAGGTGCAGAATATCTGTACTCAAATGAAGATCAAAGTATAATTTTCAATGAAAGTGCAGCATGCTTTCCAAAAAAGCATTAGAATCCTAAAAGGAGAAGGAGTTCAAGTTTCATTTTTTCATAATGTGATTCTCTAATAAAAGTGTCAGATTTAGGTGTTGAAATGTGTAATCTTAATATTACAGACTTTGCAACAGTAAAATATCCTTTTTAGTGTGTGTTCTGACTTGTTAGTATTTGAATAGAGACATTGTGAGAAGAAATATTTAAACTATCACTAGAATTATAGGGAAACAAATAAATGCCAGCAGACACTTTAGTTCCTTGAATTTTACCCCTTTTCAAAGTAGGTAGCTGGAGACCAGGCTATTTCTCAGAGAACACTCATCCTAAGAAAACCAAGACAGAAATGCCCTTAAGAAACTGCCTTTGGTCACCATCAAAAGGAGAATACTCAGATCAAAAGGTGCTTACTTGATCTTAAGAACTTATCTTTTGGGACCTGTTTTCTACTCTATTATATCATGACATTCTTGCCTGTCAGTGAAAATATTATTTTCCAAATGTGTCATCTTCTCTTACCCCAAGTTGGTTTTTACTGTTTGAAATGAACTACTCCTTCTCCACATCTTTCTTTCTCTTCAAGCTTTTTTTCAGTATTATTATCTAATTCTGAAGACTTTCTTGACCTCAAGACACCTTCCCCACACTGGATGGTTAGACTCTCCTCCATCTTATATCCTACTTACTAAAGATTATTTCCATTATACATTTGTTTATCACATTTTCCATTAGATTGTGAATTCTTGAGGGCAATAGCTATGCCTTTAGTTGCCAAAATTCTCAATTTTTTTTTTAATATTGTATGTTTGGTAAATGTTTCCCGAACATCACAAGGTAAACCTTAACTGGCAGTTTTTTGTCCTGTCCCCCAAGTGAATTCATTTGTGCCTTATCGCCCCAGTTTGGCTATGAATCTCTTAGAGTATCTGGAAAGTAGCAGTTGGGTATATTGATCTACTCAATATGAATTCCTTTCAAGACTTCTGGTGACATGGAAAGGCCACAAACTAGGCAACATATAATCAGGTGATAATGGATATGATGAGAAACAATTAAAAGTGAGGCTTTGATTTTACATTGACTTCTTGCCCTAACGTATATGTTAATAGAGATGGAGGTAAAGACCGAAGGTCAGAAGGCAGTTTTATTTTTCCTCTTGTGAGAAAAACTGAGGTTAAAGTTATCCCAGTTTCACTTCAAAACTTCTCCCTTTAATACTCCATTTTGCCTAAAAGCCCAAGTGGGAAGAAAGAGAACTTGTGAAACAAAAACTGTTTCCCTAAATACAATACTATATTACTAAATACATGGCCAATGCGCAAATGTTTGCGACAATATTTTTTTCTAGTTCTTCCTCAAACTTTACGGCTACATCCACTAGGTTGTATTTCACCTCAGAAGTGTTGTTATTGTGTCCCACAATCACTGAATTGAAGAAAATTATAAAATATTTTATTTGTAAATTAATCTACTGTCATTTAAATTATTCTCAAGTTTAGAGTCACTAAAATGAAAACTATAACTATGGCAGATATTTTATATTATTTAGGAAGATTATCAGGTCTTCATGAAACTAAGAAGAAAATATCTTTTTCTGCGGTATGGTGTATTTGGAAAATACAGCACAAACTAGTTGAAGTCTTTGAAATAAATTAAATTTTATTACTTCTGCTTAATAGAACACTTATGGCCTCAGAAAGAACTAGAGTTTGAATTAACAGTCACTTGTTTTTAATGTAGTTGCTCTATCACTGCATATCTGTAGTGTACCTACAATGTGGTGCTCACTTTTATACAGCTGATAAGACAATGATGAACAAGAGAGATATCTTATTATTATTGTAAATTATTAAATATGTGGCCAAATATTTGTGAAAAATATTTCCTCTTAGTTTTTACCTGCTGTACATTACCACTGTTATGATAGAGGTAATATTAGTGCTGCAATTGTCAGAAGAACAATAGTAGACAATGAGCTAATTGGGGGAGGGACATGAGACTGTATCTGAGACCAGGAACAGGACTAGAACAGGAGGAGATCATGCAGTGCCTTGGGGAACATGGCAAGCAGTTCTGATTATATTCAAAATACAGTGAGAAAGCTTTGAATTGAAGGGTTTTAAGAAGAGAAAAGATATAATTTTATTTGCACCTTAAAATGAATACTTAAGCTGCTATATACAACATGAGTGAAAGTGGAGGGACACAATCAGGAGGTTATTGCAGACCAGGGAGGGGAAACCTGTGACTTAGGTGAGTGAAAATGTCAGTGAAGATGGATGGAGTGGATGGATTGAAGATTACTATTCTGGACATAAGTGATAGGAGCTGCTGACTAATGAGATGGGGGAGGATTAAGGAAGAACAAGAATCAAGCTTTCTGGCTTAGACAACTAAATGAATGCTGTTGCCATTTTCTGATAGGGAAAAGATTGAGGAGAAAAAATTGGGAGAAAATATCGAGAATTATTTACTGGACATGTTACATCTGAAGTGTCTATGAGAAATTCAAATGAAGATGCCAGTTAGGACTTGACCCCACATATTGTCACTCTTTTCTCTTGCAATCTATTCTTTAACATAAAAACAAGATGTTCCTGTGGAAAGTTAAGTCAGATGTTCTCTAAACTATCCTCAAATTACACAGTGGCTTATGAAACCCTACCTGACCTGACCCACCATTTAATCTTGGACTTAAGCTCCTCTATTCTCTCTGCTGGAGCCAGCCATGCTGCGAGCCTCACTGTTGCTTGAATCCACAAGATGTGTTCCTGCCTGAGGGCCTTTATTCTTGCTATCCCTTCAGTCAGGAACATTCTTTTCTTGTAGATATGCATCCCTCCATTCCCTGCCTCCTGAAAGTCTTGGCTCACATATTATTTCAGTGATTCCCGCAGCCACCCAGGGCTGTATTTCTGGGTGTGCAACTTGTAAAGTCAATATTTATTTTGCACAAGGCCTCACAAATTAGGGAGCCAGTTCTGTAAACTGGAGAATTGCAGCCCCCAGTCCGTGCAATTCTCCTTACCCTGTATTGTTTTTCTCCACAGTACATATCAATGTCTAGCCCATTGTATTTTATTATTTGGTTATTATCCCCTCCATCAAAATTCCATAAAAATGTCTACCCAAAGCGGTTGAAAATTTATGTCCATAAAATTGCACACCAATGCTCATGGCAGCCTAATTCATAATTGCCAAAACATGAAATTAACCAAGACATTCTTCAGTAGATGAATGGATAAATAAGTAAATGACTTCCAACATTAGGAGTTAAGATAGAGGAGGAAGAGTTTGCAAAGTGGACGGTGATAGAGTAGTGAATGAAGAAAGAGAAAAATCAAGAGTACTTTGCAATGGAAACACAGTGAACAGTGTTTCAGAAGGAAGAGTGGTCAAATGCTGGGAAAATCACTGACGGTCAAAGTTAAATGAGACCAATGTGTTATTTGCTGTGGATCTTGAGAAGAGCAATCTACATTAGTGTAGTGGTGAGGTTGGAAGACTTATGGGAGTGAATGAGAGCACAAGTAAGAGATAAGGAAGATTTAAAAAAAATAAGAAAATCTCTAGGTTATTAATCTGTTTATCATCTGCATGTCATGCATCTGTCTATTTGAGTAAAAGGCATAATTGTATTTGTGTAAAACTGACCCCACAAAATTTATTTTTATGTAGACCTATAAAACTCCAATTAATAGAGCATTTTTCCTAAACTATACTTCATTTTTTATTATTTTTGAATACTTTTGAGGGAAGAGATGAAAAAGTATAAGCATTTTCTCTGTATTCAGTTTTCAACATAATTATGAAAATTAGATAAATATCAAGTTAAAAATAACTGAATTTAAAATATATTATTCATAATAAATTATTTGTAACCAGAAATAATTGCAGTTAAGATTTCAGAAGAGAAAAAGATTATTATACCCTGGTGTTTAAGAAAAGCATTAGAATAAAGGTAGACTTAAAAGTGATCTGGAAGAATGACTAACATACATGTAGATGGAAAATAAAAAAGAAAATAATTCACATTATTAGGGGAATTAGAATGAAGAAAAAATAGGAGATAAAAAAGTGAAAGATAGATTGAGGAAGGCAGATTTTTAACGAAGTTAGTTTGAAATAAAGACGAGAAATTGAGGATAAAATAGACTGGGAACTTATATGTGACTGTAGGAGCTATGTGGTGTAATAAAAATAGTCTTTGGAGTCTTAGAGATCTGTATTTTTATCTTGTTCCTTTTCCCTATAAACTAACTTCAGACTATGTAAAAACTCAGTTTCTTCAACATAAAATATGACATTATGTTATTTAACTAATAGGTCCGATATAAGGGTTAAATTTACTAAAGTAACCAATTTAATATACCTGATACATAATTGGTCCTCAATACCTATTGGTTACTTCCTGCACACATCCAGCATTGTGTTATAAACACTTTAAATGTTTAAGATATGCAGTTTATAGGTGGAGGGGCATTATTAAAGATTCTTAAGTAGGCAGACAACATGATCAAAAGTGGGGTATTTTGACAAGAATAATCTTCTGTAATTGTGCAGGAAAATTAGAAGTAAGACTGGTTAGGAATCTTAAAGAAAGGTGGACATGGATTAATAGAGATTACTCTGAGCTAGTATCTTAGGTCTATTCCATAAGAAATGATAGCTTTATCTTTACATAAGTCTAAAATATTAGCCTCATAAATATTTACCTTTCTTAATACTTAATAATTATTGAGAGGGCCAATTTTGTGTGTACACATTGATGAGTTTTCACCACGTTTACGGAACTATACACACACCACCCAGAGAAAAACAACATTATCAGCCATCCAGATGTCTTCCTCATATCCCTTCTCAAGTCTTAACCTTTCCTCCAAAAGGTAACAACTATTCAGTTATCAGTCATCATAATTGTTTTGCCTAGTTTGGAATTTTATTTAAGAAAAATCGCACAGCATTTACTTTTTTGTGCCTGGCTTCTTTTTCTTTCTATCTGTGAAATACGCCCATGTTGATGCATGCAGCAGTAGTTCATTCTCTCTCCTGTGTAATACTCTTTTGCGTAAGTATAGCACAATACATTTTGTAGCTGATAAATAGTTGTTTACAATTTTTGGCCAGTATGAATAAAACTGCCATAAACATTCTTGGACATTTCATTTGTGCACAAATGTATGCACTTCTATACCCTGAAATTGAATTACTGAACCATAGAATAGGTGCCAAAGAATATCTACTAAATTAATTCAGATGGTACATAGATAAAGCTTCTAGAATATAACAAAGGAACATATTTTTATAACCTTGGAGGAGAGGAATATTCCTTAAACAACAAAATTAAAAAATACTAACTATAAATTATAGGAAAATGTTGAAAAATCGACCTTCACTTAACTTGAAAATTTTAGTTTATCTAAAGTCACCTTTAAAAGAATGAAAAGGCAAGACATAGTGGGAGAACATGCTTTGAATTCATTTATTCAACAAAAGACTCATATCTAGAATATCTAAAGAACTCATTAACACATCAATAAGAAAAAAACCCAGACAATTCAACTTCAAAAAAAAAAAATAGGCCAAAGGAATAAAAATCAAACAGGCATCTCACACATCTCACACAATGGGCTATCCAAAAGGCTGGGAAACATACGAAAAGGCACTTAACTTTATTAGTCATCAGGGACATGCAAATTAAATCCATAATGAAATATGACAACAAATAAGCCAAAATATCTAGAATGAAAAAGATTGACAATATTACGTATAGGTAAGAATATAGAGCAACTTTGACTCAAATGCACTGCCGATGGGAGTGTAAATTGATACAACCATTTTCATTTTTTTTTTAATACTATGTGGGTCAAGCGAAATGTATCTGTGGGCTGAATCTAGCTTTGACCGCTGATTTGCAACCTCTGAAAACTCCTTTATGTAACAGATATGGACCCTGAGGCATAAAGAAGTTAATTGAAGCTTAATTCAAGGTCAAATAGCTAGAACCCATGTCTCCTGACTGCTCAATTGGTGTTTTTTCTGCCACACAGTGTGGCTTTCTCTAAATGACTAGACAGGAAATGAAGGGTAAAGTACAATGCTTTGAAATGTAACATATTTTACGTTGTGCAAGTAAAACCCATTTCATGCAATCTTAAGTGAATAAAAGGAATTTAAATCAAATTTATTTCAATTCTACCAAGGAAGTTTTAGGCTTAAAATAATAATAATAGTAAGCCTAGAACCACCTATTGGAGATTAGAATATAGACGGTTCAAACACAAAAGCCTTTCATAAAAAGACTTCTGGGTATTAGTCACCATTGTTTTCATACATTTGAAAGAACTTAATAACCTACTTTACTATTTTTTTCTGGAGTACAAATGAACTGTTCCAAAAAGATCAATTAAATAATAGGACTGAGAGGCATCTTTTTATCACAGAGGTTTCTTGTGAATATACAGTATTAAAGTTAATTCCCTTGCTATTATTGAGGAAATAGTATGGTCCTGTTGGAGTTTTAAAATTTCTACTGATGTGAGAATCGAATTCCTTAGCAGATTAAACAATAGAATCTTTGGAAACACCAAAGTATTCTTTAAAAGATCATTCCTTTCAATTGTCATAACTTTAACCAGAAAGAAAAGTGTTGTCTCACTGCAAGAAAGCTTTTAACTTCACATCTAGAAAGGTGGATTATTTTCTCTTACATAGGAATTTTATGTACAATAATTTGAATAATAAAATTATATTTTTAAATGCATAATATAAAATTGGTGTAGTTTCTAAGATGTAAAATTGGTATGTTTCTAACTACACCAATTTTACATCTATGCATTTAAAAGAAGTCTGAAACTTCCCCAGACTCTTTCTAGCTAAATGTCTCTCCCATTCATTGTGTTGATGCTTCATCTGCTTTTAATTAAAAAAAATTATCTGAAGCTAGTAAACAAGAGAGACCACATAAAAGTCCTAAAGATGTTCAGAGAGCTTCTCTAAATTTCTCAGGTTATGATAAAACATTTCAATGATACTGACAATTTTCAGTTCATCAATGAAGTTCTACCAGCCACATAAACAATAAATAAAAATCATGCACTATTAGCTGTATTCATGATTTTGCAGAAAACAAATGACTATAAACTATTCTTAGACTATTTTTATTGTGGGATAATAAAAAAGCATATACTTCTTTACAAATGTTAGTTCACATATAAAATGATCTATTGTGTTTTCTCCAATTTGACAAAACTAAACATGTTAGTTGTATAAAAGGCAAGGAGCCAAAACATCAGAGAGCAAATAGGAGGAGAAAATGAATTTTCGCGGCACATTGTGTAAAAGTTTGTGGAAGACTTTTATTCACTGCTATTAATCCTTCACTTTGATGGGAAATGTATTCAATCATTATTCCCTTTTAAGAAAAAGCTCTTTTCCTTTTTAAAAAAAGCTCTTAGCTTTTTTTATAAAGTAATTGAAATACTTTTTTTAGATTTAAATATCTGCTTTAAAGTGCTTAAAACAACTAATACATTCATTTGAATCCCTCTGTTGCTAAAGAGTTAGAAGGAAGAAAAATTGGCCTGACAAGAGTTAAGTAATTTATTTTCTCAGAATATTTGACAAACAAACATGCAAGATAGGCACAAACATAGACTAGATCTTTAGTTTCTTGCCAGTATTTTTAACATGCTAATGTTTTAATAATATCATACATATGATTTCAGATAATGTCTGTCATTGCTCAACATACTAAATGGAGCATCACAATTTCACTGAGACATACCAATGTGTTTTTTTTTTCCCTTTACTTTTTCCCACTACTTCCATCCCAAAGAACTGCACAAGTGTACAGTCAGAAACAGAGTCACATATTCAAGACAGGACTTAGCATGTTATCAACTCATTTTGTTATGATGCCATATCATCTTACAGTTATTTTTCGGTAAGTGGACAGGTATGTGCTCTTTCATCAATGGTTTCCTAAGAGCTCATCCAGACCTACAAACTAGTTTTCAAGCAAGGCATAGTGGGAAAAACTAAGTAAACTGCAAATTGTGTTGTCATTCTTTTTGCTTTTGTTTTTAAACCATAAGAATCTGTTAAGTCCATGAAGTGTATCAATAATAATTAAAATACAAGGTTTCAACTGGGAGTGAGTTATTTAGAGGAAATATAACAAAGAATGAAGAAGAGAAAAATAAAGTTTACTTAGACATAAAACCTTCCCTAATATTTGGAGCTAACCCTTAGAGCTAGGGTTAAAGTGAAGCCAATTTATCATGGATTTTACTTGAAAAATTTTAGTTGAATTTATAGACTGTGAGTAAAAAATATCCTGAAATATACAGACTATGTTTTAAACTAGTAACCTGCGATCTTTTAAGCCTGTTTTAAAAGAAAAAAAAATCGAAGGGATTCCAATATGGTCTTGTCATTCAACCCCTAGGAGGTTCTAAGAGAAACTCTATCTGATCCTCAGAAGAAATCTGGATTACTTCTGGCCTCGGGAAGTCCTACCAAGTTTCTAGAAGGAGGTGCAGGTGAGATTTCTTACAGCCAATCCTCTTCCACTGCCTTATTCCTCATTCTGAGCTCTCTTTCATTTCAATTACTGTTAAGCATGTCCTTTCTTCTCTGGGTAATCGAGAGCAACCCAATTTTTTATTTATCCTTATATTCTCTACAGAACTGGCATCTGGTGAGACAGGGACACATTATGCTACATAGGCATTTTGGGTAATATAACTGGATGATACACTTTTCATTAATGTTTATTCTTGTATTTCTGCTGAAAATATTTCTGTTAAACTAGTTAAATCTTCTATATTTCCATTCAGCAGAACATATAATAATGCTAGATGATTGCTGTGTCAAAAAATATTTTGTTCTCTCACCTTATACTAATGACGGTAATAAATCTGACCCTCCAGGATTTTCTTATTGCTTTTTTTTGCAGGCCTTGAGTATGGCAGAAAACATGATGTAGTGAAAAATACCTGGGGTTAGTCTAGACCCTGTCCTGTTACGATCCAGCTCTGAGTCCTTAAGTCCATCTACTGACATCTCAGAAAATGTTTGCTCATAAAGGAAAAATAATATTTCACATGGATGGATCTGTATTTCACAAGATAACATAACGTAGTTGAAAATGAGTAATAAGGCATAAAACTCTACAATATTATAATTGCAGCTCCACAGCTTTAGGAAAATTACTCCCTGCTCTGTATTCTCTTATCCATGAAATGTGAGCTGGTTGATCACGAAGGTACTTTTTAATGCCAGCTCTAAATTTGTACTTATTTATGCTTAAAATTTGATTGACAACTAAATTGAAGGAATGAAAATAAAGCAAATGGTTGGTCATCACGGGCTTCAGCATGATCGAGGTCCCTTGAATGAAAGTGAAAGTTTAGACAGGTTGGGTGCAGTGGCTCAAGCCTGTAATCCCAGCACTTTGGGAGGCCAAGGCGGGCGGATCATGAGGTCAGGAGATGAAGACCATCCTGGCTAACATGGTGAAACCCCGTCTCTACTAAAAATACAAAAAATTAGCCGGGCGTGGTGGCGGCGGGCTCCTGTAGTCCCAGTTACTCGGGAGGCTGAGGCAAGAGAATGGCATGAGCCCGGGAGGCTGAGCTTGCAGTGAGCCGAGATCACTCCACTGCACTCCAGCCTAGCAACAGAGCGAGACTCCGTCTCAAAAAAAGAAAAAAAGAGAGACGTCGAGGCAGCTACTCTTATTACCTACTCACTTCTTCCCATTCTTTCAATACACAGTGCATTTACCTTGATCCCTTTAGCAAAATGTTCTTGTTTTTGAGTACTCAAAAACAATGCTTTTCACACTGGCTGAAAAACTATGACTCCTTATATTAAATCCAAACTGTTTTTCGAGATCTCTTCTTGTACTTCTCTTAGCCAACAGGTCTTCTAATATTTTCCTTCTCTAAATGTCTTCCCACCTCTTTGGCCAGTTCTTTTCCATAAACATTAAAATTAATATTTATTTATCCCACGAACCTTTTCTTATATTTCCCATATGCGTTAAAATTAATATTTATTTATCCCATGAACCTTTTCTTATATTTCCCCAAAACAATGAGGCAACATGTGCTATTACTGAAGAAACAACAGTTCTACACTTAATGTTTTATTAGTCAAAAAGTCGATGTGTCATTTATTGATAGGTGGAAACTGATGACACAGGACACAGAAAGACAGAGAGAAAATGCCGTTAACCTTCATTCCTTCAAGAAAAAGTCAGGCCTGATCAGATAACCAAAGTATAAATCACTTGCTGTGGGAAAGAGGACAAAGTAGAAAAGGAAAAGGAGAGTAGAAAATGACATTTTTTAGAAGTCAGTTCGATTTAATAAATATGTGGGGTCAGAGTGTCTTAAGGTACATGTTATTGCTGATCCACAAAACAAGAGTTTGGAAATCCTGGGGAGGATATAAGTACCTTTGGATTATTATAAGGTAGATGAAGTACTGAAATTTACAAAGGAAAGTTAGAACCCTAACTGACCAGTTCTGTTTTATAAATTAATGTATATCCCCCATAATTAAGTTTGCTTTATAGGAAATTTATGCTCTTGCTGTAAAATCATTTGTAATAATTTCTTTCACAATATTTTCCTGCTTCTTGTAGCATCAAACATTTTGTGGGAGAGGAAGCATCGACAGCCTGTTTGTACAAATGTCCATTAAGGTGTTGGCACTGCAACTAACATACAAAGACTTACAAAGGATGACATTAGGAATAGAGATAGCTTCCTTCATGTGCAGCCTCAGACCCAAAGACAGTGAGCTCCCACTTCAGAATCTTGTACTTAAACTGTGCCAGGACATTGACACAAAAATTACCACAGGAAGAATAGCCATAGCCACTTTTTCCTTCATCTGTGCCTCCTTTCTTGGTTTTCATCATCCAGCAGCCATCATAGAACAATCATACTAATATTGCCCATTTGGCCCTACAAAATTTTTCCTTTAAGAGAAAATCAAATGAACAAGCTTAGCTATAAGCTAAGAGGTTACCTGTGTGGCTGTTAGTCCAGGTCAGCATACTCTTCCATGCAGCCAGCCAGATGGTCCTGTGGCACTTTTCCAATGACTCAATTATCAGAAGCTGCATAAGGTATACTTGAGAATTTGCATCTTTCTCCTTCCATCATGGCTTATTCTACATGGAGTGTTGCAGGGGTTTTAATTTGAAATTGTCTGGCATGATGTCTATTAAGCAAGTCATAGCTTTTTATTATTCATTAGGTACCATAACTATACAAAATTAGGCATCCATTTTTAATGAAAGAATGTTTCGAAAGTGTAATAATAGGCTTAGAAAATGTGTATGTTTTAAATTCTTTAAAAAAAATAATGTTTTACATTTTTCTCCATTTAAAATATCTCCATCATTCCCCAAGTTGTAGCATGTAAGTCAGGTGGGATGAAAGACCCTTGAAGTGATGGCAGCACAAAACAAGTTTCTAGATAGCTGAAGGACACTTTGAATGGAATTAATCTGTGGGAAATAAAAAACCTCAACAACTTCATTCCTTCATTTATGTTTACTTTACGCATATGCAATACTCAGTGGAAACATCCATATTCATTACCCACCTACTTTATCAGAATGGTATCATTAACATTAAAGCTAAGTGTGCATTACATAAGCTTTAAGTCATGTGAGTATATTTCTTTAAACTTAAAACAGAGGTGTCTTGCACATGGGATATTATACTGAGAATCAAGGGTTTTGCTGTGTAGTCTGAAAGGATTTTTCTGGATGTCACTTCACTGTCTCAGTTTCTTGTTCAGTAAAATTACAGATCTACATTTAAAATCAACCGTTAATATGAGGAAGTATCTCTTTTGGTAAGACACAAGATACAACTTTCTTCTTCCCACAGTGTAAACACAGCCCTACAAGTCATTCAATAAACAGTGTAATTAGTAATTCCTTTTTTGAACTGAAGGGATAAATATAGTTCTCTTTTCTTACCATCATGATATGTTTTAAGAATAGGCAAACAAAAATAATCCCATAAAAAAGAAAAGAACAAAGTAGGTGAGGAGTATAAAATATTGTAATTTAAGTTAGTGGACCATAGCATTCTATAGGTTTAAAATATTCTGATTTAGGTTAGCGGGCGATAACATTCAACATTTGCATAAAATGCAAGGATTCAAATCATGATATTATGTTAAAACAGATCTTTTGATCAAAGATTTCAACTGTTAGATATAAAAATTTATAATTATATTTGTCTTTGAGACTTGAAGTCAGATTCCACATCTTTTAATTGGTGTTGGTGACTTTTTTTAAAGTTAGAGTTTTCTGTTTAAGAGTCTGTGTCCTCTAAAATCTGAGAAGCATGCGCAATGGTAGATGCTATGCTAGATAATGGAAATCAATTGCCGTGGTCTGCTTTAAGAAGTGTAATGGTTACTGTATGGCCTTATCCCTATCCTCACCAGTAGTATGAGTCAAACACAGGATAACCAGACATGCTTCATTTCCACTCTTGTTTTCTTTCTCTTAATTAAATATCTTTGAAAAGAAAAATGCAGAAATTTCATTCCTGCTGCAATGAGTATCCTATTATTTCAAAATGGACAAATTGAGAAAGAAGAAAACTTCAAGGAAGAACAGTAGGAACAATTTTTAAAAATTTAAAGAGTAATGAGGTAGCAGTTAACACAGATCGAAATTCCGCCAAAAGTTTATTTGTAACATGGTATTTAAATTAAACCTTAGCTCGCCTTACTATTTTTAGATAAACAGTTTCAGTAAAACCTAAAAGCCTATCCTCGTAATCGACACTGTCATCTTTAAACTTTACCACTTAACATAATTATAAAGGCATAACTCTAAAGTTCTCTATGATTGTCAAAGGATTCTCATTAGAAAAAGAAAAAAATCTGAATATTGCAGAACCATATATTCACATAGACATTATTATATATAAAGCTAAGTATAGGGACCACTTAAATGTAAAAATGTAGAAATATACTCTTTTAAGGCTGTCTGTATAGACCCTTTTAATGTAGAAGCAATAATTTGAAAATAATTAATGCATTTTTATAAAGAAAATATTTTCAAATGTGACATTGCTAAGTATCTCATGATTTAAAATTAACAAAACATATTTCAAATCTTTATTTTGTAACATTCAAACATATCTCAAATTTAACATGTCTCCTCATTTCCAAACTATACATTCCAGCTTTTCAGTTAAAAGCCTGAATGAAAACAGACTGCAAGTAAACAGCCATTCAAACCAATTGATGTACTCAAAAGGATCTCTGGGAATCACATTGTATAAAATATTTACATTAGTCAGCTGTTCACAGAATCTTAACTGCAATTTCCCTTTTTAATTTTTAATTTTATAATTTTGTGGTTTGTTGAGAGAAATGTAAACGAAAGCAAATTGAGAATATACTTTTTGTTTTCTCTTTGCAATGTTCATTTGGTGTTTATCATCTTCTCTGCAAGTTCTGACTAGATAAGAATGTTGCTACTCTTTCATTTGGAATCCTTTCTACTTGTAGATAGTGCAAGCCTCAGAGTTATTTAGGCAATATTTTTATGCCCAGGAGACCCTAAACATGGAGAAAATACAAGAAACAGAACTTATGGACCAAACTGAGAGTTAAAACTATTGAGGATTTTTTTTTTTTTTTTTTTTTTGAGACTGAATCTCACTCTGTCACCCAGGCTGCAGTGCAGTGGCATGATCTCGGCTCACTGCAACCTCCGCCTCCTGGGTTCAAGGGATTCTCCTGCCTCAGCCTCTCGAGTAGCTGGGACTACAGGCGCCTGCCACCACGCCCGGTAATTTTTGTATTTTTAGTAGAGACGGGGTTTCACCATGTTTGCCAGGATGGTCTCGATCTCTTGACCGCGTGATCCAGCGGCATCGACCTCCCAAAGTGCTGGGAATACAGGCGTGAGCCACCGCGCCTGGCCTGAGGATTTTTTTTAAAGAATTTGAAAAAGCTAAGGGACTAGGCTGACCTACAATGTCTTAAAATTAGAAATATAAAATTTGATGTATTTCAGGGCTGAAGAAGAAATGCACTTCAATATGTGTTTGCTGGGTCACATAGATTATTGGAAATCTGTTGATTGCATGTATGAACACAAAAGTTAAAGTCCCAAGGAACTATATTTTCGTTATACATTACTGAATTTCACAAGAGTGCTTTATGAGCAATTATAGAGGACAAAAGACTTCTTCTACTTGAAAAGGTATCATAATGACTATGTATCAATATGATAAAGAGACAAAACAGTCTGTTAATTGCTCAGAGAAAAGATAGAATGTGATATATAGAACTGCACTAACTAGCTAGCTTACTAACATCTTTCCAGTCTATAACTTTATCCTTCATTAGGCAGACTCCATAAACTTGTCTTTGCATTTCTACACAAGAAACTCTATTCTTATAAGCCGTAATCCTTTATTCTTTCTCTTCCTGGAAAGGGGATGAGTTGAGGGGAGAGAGTGAATGTACTTACATAGTGCTAACTAGCTCTTTTACTTTTGCTAAACACCGGTAGGTGTTTAGCATACATAAACAGGACACTATTATTAATGTATATTCTTTACTATTTGTCATTCTAATACCTCTATTGTCTAGATTAAATATAGAAAATACAAGTTAAATAAAGCTCATTACAGGTACTGTTTGTTGTTTATGATAAGAGACTTTAAAAATGTCCACTCCTTATTTTCCCAGAAGACAGTCAATGCTTTCAGAATCAAAGATGGAGTATAATAGCTATCAAATGATTAGATTACCTTTCCCATTAGATGGCCAAGCCTTATTAATCTACATCAAACCATAGCTATCTATCTTCTCAATCACAAATGTCACATATTCTGGTTCTTTCTTTTATACACAGCCCTTTTCTATAAAGTAGCCAAAAAGTTACAGTAGAACATTCATACTTTGGTAATAAACAACTTACCCCTCAAC
This sequence comes from Homo sapiens, assembly GCF_000001405.40. Taxonomy (NCBI): domain Eukaryota; kingdom Metazoa; phylum Chordata; class Mammalia; order Primates; family Hominidae; genus Homo; species Homo sapiens. Next base: position 93,148,561 of record NC_000006.12, read on the forward strand.
CTAAACTTTCAGCCACTGAAATCCCTAATGAGATGATTCCACACAAATAAATCTTTCTGTCCTCTTCTCTTAAAATTGTATTCCACTAATCATGAAACTCTGTGGGGACTTTGTTGACAGAAAGATTTTTTAAATCATAAAAAGAAAGAAATGATTAAAGGAAGAATAGCTTTGAGTCTAAAGCATCAATTTTTTTTTCAAAAGTAAAATTATCCTCCAATTATCACCATTTGTTTGACACATTATAATTTATTGTAATGTAGCAAGGCTGTTAAATAGCCAAAAATCAAAGCTACATACCAGTTACATGCTATAGATTATTTGCTTACAATAAAAACATACAAGCAGCTTTTGGCTATATTAAGATGCAAGAAAATAATTTGTGTCATTGTTAAAAGTATTTCTCAGTTAAAATACTTACTATTATTGCCTGTAACCACACTGCTGATTTTGTTTCTATTATAAATGCACACTCAATATGTTTTCAATAAGTTAGCAATTGGGGTTGGCTGGGCACATGGCATCGTACATACCATTCTATCTCTGCAGCCAATCTCATATTTGAAATATTAATCTCTCATAAGAATGTCTTATTCCTGCTGTTGAGGTCTTCATTTTTTATTTATTCTTTTTAATAACTTCATGAATAGTTCCATTTGCCCTTTGCTTAATATCTCCCTAACCTGATTTTCAACTTGCTTCTCTAATGCATTAATGGAATAACCATTTTTTTCCTATTCCCTGTGACAAACAATAAAAACTATAGGAAAAAAATGAAAAGTTAGGAGATAAAAATTTTGAGTGGTCTACAATGACTCATACATTATCAAATATGCATTCAAAAACATGCAAGTCTCCAGACAATACATGTATGTTTGAGGTACATATTTAGATGAAAGTTTTGCTTTAAGAATTTAAATATTAATGGAAAGGAAAAAAATTAATAACGCAGGTTTTCTTTCCTGGTACTTTTAGGCATGCATTCCTCTTGCCCTAGCATTGCTGAACTCTTAAACACAAGATTACATGCCCTTTCCTTATCACCTTCTCTGATCTCTGATGAAGTCATGTATGGATCCATCCAAGATTAGTAACTATACGTCTGTTCTTTTAACAGTGAATCAGGTTTTCAATCAACGGACCTACGCTGTATTTGAAATGATCAGTAAGGCTGAATGAAGCTAACTATGCAACTACAAAAAGTAAGAGTTTTCTTTTCTTTTTTTAAAAAAAGTTCTCTGTATTGCTGTTGACTACCATAATAAAGTATTGAGATGGTTTAAAAATGAATGAAATGAGAAAATAAAATCTGATTTTCCACATGATCTCCTTTAACCTTTAAACTATCGAGATGGAAGATTCAGTCTTGTCAACATAACTGCCTTTTAAATGGAACATTCTAATAAGAGACTATGTTTTTAGAAATAGTCTAAATTTCCTTCAGCCTCCAGATATTAACTTCAGATATTTATAAGTTAAAAATTGCAAAATATCATAAGAGACTTACAATGAAAAACATCAATGGGGTTGTTTGAAGAAATTTGGGTCCAGTAGATTTTAAAACAAAAATCGCTCTCAATCAGATTCCCACCCCCGCTCTAAATTAAATTCCCAGCAAAAGACAGGGAGGTTTTTTTTTTAATTAGTTTTTTGTTGTTTTGTTTGTTTTATTTGGTACTTATTTTAACATGAGCTTAGATGAATTCGTCTATAAAGGATTCTTTCACTGAGCATAGTTTCATTGAATAAACATGTTAACTGACTTCAACCAAATATTTAACTTTATTTGGCTATGGATTCTACTTTTACTAAAATCTTTTTGCAAACAGGCAATACAAAATAATTTTTAATTAATTCATAGATAATGGATAAAAATTGTATGTGTATGTTTTGGAATATGTATATGTTTTGGCTAATATAACATAGTTTGATACCATTTTTCTTTTATATTATACTCTGTTTTCATACATTGTAATGATTTTTGCTGCTATCTTTAATGTTAAGCAATTTTTTATGTTTTTAATTTTTTTATTTCAATACATTTTGGGGGAACAGGTGGTGTTTGGTTACATGAATAAGTTTTTTAGTGGTAATTTCTGAAATTTTGGTGCACCCATTACCTGAGCAGTATACACTGACCCAACGTGTAGTCTATTATCCCTTGCCACCCCCAACCCTTTCCCCTGAGTCCCCAGAGTCCAATGTATCATTCTTATGCCTTTGCATACTCATAGCTTATCTCCTACATAGGAGTGAGAGCATACAATGTTTTGTTTTCCATTCCTGAGTTACTTCACTTAGAACAAGAGTCTCTAATTCCATCCAGGTTGCTGCAAATGCCATTATTTTGTTCCTTTTTATGGCTTAGTAGTATTCCATAGTGTGTATATATACCCTTGTTAATTGATAGGAACCTGGGCTGGTTCCATATTTTTGCAATTGCAAATTTTGCTGCTATAAACATGCATGTGCAAGTACCTTTTTAGTATAATAACTTCATTTCCTCTGGGTAGATACCTAGTAGTTGGATTGCTGGATCAAATGGTAGATCTACTTTTAGTTGTTGAAGGAATTTCCATGCTGTTTTCCATACTAGTTGTACTAATTTACATTCTCACCAACAGTGTAAAAGTGTTCCCTTTTCACCACATCCATGCCAACATCTATTATTTTTTGACTTTTTGATTATGTCCATTCTTGCAAGAGTGAGGTGGTATCTCATTGTCGTTTTGATTTGCATTTCCCTGATAATTAGTGATGTTGAGCATTTTTTCATACGCTTATTGGCCATTTTTGTATCTTCTTTTGAAAATTGTCTATTCATGTCCTTAACCCACTCTTTGATTCAATTGTTTTTTTCTTGCTGAATTGTTTGAGTTATTTGTAGATCCTGAATATTAGTCATTTGTTGGATGTATAGATTGTGAAGATTTTCTTCCACTCTGTGTGTTGTCTGTTTACTCTGCTGATTGTTTCTTTTGCTATGCAGAAGCTTTTTAGTTTAATTAAGTCCCATCTATTTATCTTTGTTTTTGTTGCACTTGCTTTTGGGTTCTTGGTCATGAAGTCTTTGCCTAAGCCAACGTCTAGAAGGGTTTTCCAATGTTATTTTCTAGAATCTTTATGATTTCAGGTCTTAGATTAAGTCTTTGATCTATTTTGAGTTGATTTTTGTATAGGGTGAGAGATGAGGATCCAGTTTCATTCTTCTACATGTGGCTTACCAGTTATCCCAGCACCATTTGTTTACTAGGGTGTCCTTTCCCACTTTATGTTTTTGTTTGCTTTGTTGAAAATCAGTTGGCTGTAAGTGTTTGGCTTTATCTATGGGTTCTCTTTTCTGTTCCATAGGTCTATGTGCCTATTTTTACACCAGTACCATGCTGTTTTGGTGACCATGGCCTTATAGTATAGCTTGAAATCAGGTAATGTGATGCCTCCAGATTTGTTCTTTTTGCTAAGTCTTGCTTTGGTTATACAGACTCTTTTTTTGGTTCCATATGAATTTCAGGATCATTTTTTTTTCCAGTTCTGTGAAGAATGATGGTGGTACTTTGATGGGAATTGCATTGAATTTGCAGATTGCTTTTGGCAGTATGTTCATTTTCACAATATTGATTGTATCCATGAGCATGGGATGTGTTTCCATTTCTTCGTGTCATCTATGATTTCTTTCAGCAGTGTTTTGTAGTTTTCCTTGTAGAGGTCTTTCACATCCTTAGTTAGGTATATTCCTAAGTATCTTATTTTTTTGCAGCTATTTTGAAAGGAGTTGAGTCTTGATTTGATTCTTGGTTTGGTTGCTGTTGGTGTGTAGCAGGGCTCCTGATTTATGTACATTAATTTTGTATCTTGAAACTGCAGAATTCATTTACCAGTTCCAGGAGCTTTTAGGATGAGTCTTTAGGGTTTTCTAGGTATACAGTCATATCATGAACAAACAGGGACACTTTGACTTCCTCTTTGCTGATTTGGATGCCTTTTATTTATTTCTCTAATCTGATTGCTCTGGCTAGGACTTCCAGTACTATGTTGAATAGAAGTGATGAAAGTGGGCATCCTCATCTTGTTCCAGTTCTCAGGGGAAATGCTTTCAACTTTTTCCTGTTCAGTACAATGTTGCCTGTGGGTTTGTCATAGATGGCTTTTATTACCTTAAGGTATGTCTCCTCTATGCCAACTTTGCTGAGGGCTTTAATCATAAAGAGATGCTGGATTTTGTTGAATGCTTTTTCTGCATCTATTGAGATGATCATGTGATTTTTATTTTTAATTCTGTTAATGTGGTGTATCAGATTTATTGACTTATGTATGTTAAACATTCCCTGAATTCTTGGTATGAAACCCACTTGATCATCGTGGATTATCTTTTTGATATGCTGTTGGATTTAGTTCATTAGTGTTTTGGTGAGGATTTTTACACCTACATTCATCAGGGATATTGGTTTGCAGTTTTTTTGTTATGTCCTTTCTTGGTTTTGATGTTAGGGTGATACTGGCTTCATAGAGTGAATTAGGGAAGATTCTCTCTTTCTCTATCTTTTGGAATAGTGTCAATAGGATTGGTCCCAATTCTTCTTTGAATGTCTGATAGAATTCAGCTGTGAATCTGTCTGGTCTTGGACTTTTTTTTGGTTGGTGGTTTTTAAAATTACCATTTCAATCTTGTTGCTTGTTATTGGTCTGTTCAGAGATTCTGTATCTTCCTGATTTATTCTAGGAGGCTTGTATATTTTTAGGAATTTATCCATCTCCTCTAGATTTTCTAGTTTATGCCCATAAAGGTGTTTATAGTAGCCTTGAATAATCTTTTCTATTTCTGTAGTATCAGTTATAATATCTCTTGTTTTGTTACTAATTGAGCTTATTTGGATCTTTTCTCTTTTTTCTTGGTTAATCTTGTTAATGGTCTATCAATTTTGTTTACCTTTTCAAAGAACCGACTTTTTGTTTCCTTTGCTTTTTGTATTTTTTTGTTTGTTTGTTTCAATTTCATTTAGTTCTGATCTGATCATCATTATTTCTTTTCTTCTGCTAGGTTTGGGCTTGGATTGTTTTTGTTTCTCCAGTACCATGAGGTGTGACCTTAGACTGTTTATTTGTGCTCTTTCAGACTTTTTGATGTAGACATTTAATGCTATGAACTTTCCTGTTAGCACTGCTTTTGATGTATTGCAAGGGTTTTGATAGGTTGTGTCTCTATTATCATTCAGTTCAAAGAATTTTTAAATTTCCATCTTGATTTCATTATTCACCCAATGATCATTCGGGAACAGGTTATTTAATTTTCATATATTTGCATGCTTTGAGGATTCTTTTTGGAGCTGATTTCCAATTTTATTCCACTGTGGTCTGAGAAAATACTTGATATAATTTCAATTTCCTTATATTTACTGAGACTTATATTTTGTGGCCTATCATTTGGTCTATCTTGAAGAATGTTCTATGTAGTGATGCGTAGAATGTATATTCTGAAGCTGTTGGGTAGAATTTTCTGTAAATATCTGAGAAGTCCATTTGTTCATTGTTTCTTTGTTGACTTTCTGTCTCGATGACCTGCCTAGTGCTGTCAGTGGAGTATTGAAGTCCCCCCACTGTTTTTGTGTTGCCATGTATCTCATTTCTTAGGTCTAGTAGTAATTGTTTTATAAATTTGGGAGCATCAGTGTTGGGTGCTATATATTCAGAATTGTGGTATTTTCCTTTTAGACTAGTTATTTTATCATTATATAATGTCCCTATTTGTCTTTTTTAACTGCTATTGTAGGTCTGTTTTGTGTAATATAAGAATAGCTACTACTGCTCGCTTTTGGTGTCCATTTGCGTAAAGTGTCTTTCTCCACTCCTTCACCTTTAGTTTTTGTGAGTCCTTATGTACTAGGTGAGTCTCTGGAACACAGGAGAGACTTGGTTGGTGAATTCTTATTCTGCCATTCTGTATCTTTTAAATAAAGCATTAGGTCATTTACATTCAATATCAGTATTGAGATATGAGGTACTATTCTATGCATCATGCTATTTGTTGTCTGAATACCTTGTGTTTTTTTTTTCTTTTCATTGTGTTATTGTTATACAGGTCCTGTGAGATTTATCCTTTAAGGAGGTTCTATTTTGGCTTATTTTGAGCATTTAGAACTCCTTGTAGTGCTGGCTTGGTAGTGGTGAATTCTCTCAGCATTTGTTTGTCTGGAAAAGACTGTATCTTTCCTTTATTTATGAAGCTTAGTTTTGCTCAATACAAAATTCTTGGCTGATCATTGTTTTGTTTCAGGAGGCTAAAATTAGGATCCCAATCCCTCCTAGCTTGTAGGGTTTCTGCTGAGAAATCTGCTGTTAATCTGATAGGTTTTACTTTACAGGTTACCTGACGCTTTTGCCTCACAACTCTTAAGATTCTTTCCTTTGTCTTGACTTTATTTTTTTATTTTTATTCTTTAAAGTGAAAGCAAGTTTATTAAGAAGTAGAAGAATAAAAGAATGGCTACTCCATAGACAGAGCAGCCCCCAGGGCTGCTGGTTGCCCATCTTTATGGTTATTTCTTGATGATATGCTAAACAAAGGGTAGATTATTCATGTCTCCCTTTTTTAGACCATACAGGGTAACTTCCAGGTGTTGCCATGGCATTTGTAAACTGTCATGATGCTGGCAGGAGTATAGCAGTGAGGACAACCAGAGGTCACTCTTGTCACCAACTTGGTTTTGGTGAGTTTTAGCCAGCTTCTTTACTGCAACCTGTTTTATCAGCAAGGTTTTTATGACCTCAATCCTGTGCCATCCTCCTATCTCATCCTGTGACTTAGAATGCCTTAGCCAACTGGGAATGCAGCCCATTATGTTTCAGCCTTATTTTACCCAGTTCCTACTCAAGATGGAGTTGCTCTGGTTCACATGCCTCTGACACAAGCACTCCAAACTGGTTTCCATTTCAATTTTCTCTCATTATGTTTTGACTTTAGATAACCTGATGACTATGTGCCTAGGTGTTGATATTTTTGTGATGGATTTTCCAGGTATTCTTTGAGCTTCTTTTTTTTTTTTTGGATGTGTAGATCTCTAGCAAGACTGAGGAAGTGTTCCTCAATTATTCCCTCAAATATGCTTTCCAAACTTTTAGATTTTTCTTGTTCCTCAGGAACACCAATTATTCTTAAGTTTGGATGTTTAACATGTAAGTAGTCCCAAACTTCTTGGAGGCTTTGTTCATATTTTTAAATTCTTTTTTCTTTGTTCTTGATGTATTGGGTAAATTCAAAAGCCTGTCTTCAAGCTCTGAAGTTCCTTCCTCAGCTTGTTTGATTTTATTGCTGAGACTTTCCAGTGCATTTTGCATTTCTGTAAGTGTGTCCTTGATTTCCAGAAGTTGTGTTTTTTTAAAATTTATGCTCTCTTTTTCACTGAATAATTTTCCTTTCATATCATGCATCATATTTTTGATTTCTTTAAGTTGGACTTCAGCTTTCTCTGTTGCCTCCTTGATTCGCTTAATAATCAACCTTCTGAATTCTTTTTCTTGCAGTTCAGAGGTTTTGTCTTGATTTGGATCCATTGCTGGTGAGCTGGTATGGTCATTTGGGGTGTTAAAGAAACTTGTTTTGTCATATTACCAGAATTGTTTTTCTGTTCCCTTCTCATTTGGATAGACTCTGTCATAGAGAGGATCTGGGATTCAAGCGCTGCTGTTCAGGTCCTTTTGCCTCACGGGATGCTCCCTTGAGGTAGTGTTCTCCCACTTCCCCCAGGAGTAGGGTTTCCTGAGAGCTGAACTGTAGTGATTGTTTTTGCTCTTCTGGGTCTAGCCACGCAGTGGAGCAACCAGGCTCTGGGCTGGTACTGGGGAATGTCTGCAAAGAGTCCTGTGATGTGATTCATCTTCACATCTTGCTACCATGGATACCAGCACCTGCTCCAGTGGAGGAGGCAGGGAAGAGAAGTGGACTCTGTGAGGGTTCATTGGTTTTGGTTTTGTGTTGGTTGGCCTCCAGCTTGGAGGTGGCTCTTTCAAGAGTGCATCAGTTGCAGTCTTATAGGGAGGAAGCAAACTTGCCCTAGGGACACCTGGTTAAGTATTCAGATTTCTCAGGTGGTAGGCAGGGACATAGAACTTCCAAGAGATTATGACCTTTGTCTTCGGCTACCAGGGCAATTAGAGAAAAACCACCAGGTGGGGGCAGGAATAAGCATGTCTGAGCTCAGCCTCTCCTTGGGCTGGGCCTGCTGTGGCTGCTGTAGGGGAGGGGATGTGGTTCCCAGCCCCATTAAGTTATATTTCCAGGTGCATTATGGCTGCCTCTGCTGAGTCATACAGATTGCCATGGGAGTGGGGGAAAACTGGCAATCACAGGCCCCACCCCACCCCCACACAGCCTGCAGTCCTAAAGGCCAGTCTCACCCTCACTGTGCTCCCTCAACAGCACCAAGTCTATTTCAAGGCAAATGGTGACCAGGGCTGAGAACTTGCCCCAGACAACGAGCCTCCCTATTGAGAAAGCAAGCAGACTCACAGTTTTTCGGCATCTCAGGGAGCCTGCAGGGGTTATCCAGTTCCATCAAAGTGTCTGTGGATTCTCTTGGCTTTCCCAGTACATTCCTGAAGTAGTTCTTGGAGCAGAAGTTTACGATATGAGTCTCCACACACTACTCTGTCTGTCTGAGTAGGGGCTGCAAGTTAGTCCTGCCTCCTATTTGCCATATTAATCCATGTTAACCACAGTTTATCTCTAGTTTTAACCATATCTTTAGGCTAAGGACTTATATATCCAGCTACCTCCTGTATATCCCAACTTATCCACCATTATTCGTGTTTATAATAATTATTCTCATTGTTATATTTTTTCAAATTCAACTTTTATTTTAGATGCAGGGGATACATGTGCGGGTTTGCTACATGGGTATATTGCACCCAGGTGGTGAGCATAGTACCCAATAGGTATTTTTTCAAACCCAACCCCCTTCTTCCCTCCCCGCTCTAGCAGGCCACCATGTCTATTGCTCCCATGTTTACATTCTTGATTGCTCAATGTTTAGCTCTCACTTATAAGTGAGAACATGATATATTTACTTTGCTATTCCTGCATTAATTTGCTTAGGATTATGGCCTCCAGCTCCATCCATGTTGCTGAGAAGAACATGACTTCATTCTTTGTGTGGCTGTGTAGTATTCCATGGCATATATGTACCACATTTTCTTTATCCAATCCACCAGTTATGGGCACCTAGGTTGATTCCATCTCTTTGCTGTTGTAAAGCAAAGCATGTGTCTTTTCGGTGTAGTGATCTATTTTGGGGGGATATATGCCCAGTAATAGGATTGCTGGGTCAAATGGTATCTCTGTCTTAAGTCCTTTGAGAAATCTCCAGAAAGCTTTCCACAGTGGCCGAACTAATTTATATACCCACCAACAATGTATACGTGTTTCCTTTTTCCTGCAGCCTCATTGGCATCTGCTGTGTTTTTACCTTTTAATAAAAGACACTCTGACTGGTATGAGATCGTATCTCATGGTGGTTTTGATGTGCATGTCTCTAATAATTAGTGATGTTGAGCATTTTTTCATAAGTTTGCTGGCCACTTCTATGTCTGCTTTTGAGAAGTGTCTGTTCATGTCTCTTGCCCATTTTTTAATAAAGTTATTTGCTTTTTGCTTGTTGGTTTAAGCTCCTTATAAATTCTGGATATTAGGACTTTGTTGGTTGCATAGTTTGCAAATATTTTTCTCATTCTCTGGATTGTCTCTTTACTCTATTGATAGTTTCTTTTGCTGTGCAGAAGCTCTTTAGTTTAATTAGGTCCCATTTGTCAATTTTTATGTTGCAATTCCTTTTGGAAACTTCATCAAAAATTCTTTCCTAAGGCTGATGTTGAGAAAGATATTTCCTAGGTTTTCTTCTAGGATTGTTATAGTTTGAGGTCTAGCATTTAAATCTTTAATTAATCTTGAGTTAATTTTTGTATATGGTGGATAGTAAGTGTCAAGTTTCATTTTCTGCATATGGCTAGCCAGCTATCCCAGCATCATTTATTGAATAAGTCCTTCACCCATTGCTTGTTTTTGCCAACCTTATTGAGATCAGATGGTTGTAAGTGTGTGGCTTTATTTCTGAGTTCTGTGTTCTGTTCTATTTTTTTATGAATCTGTTTTTGTATTAGTACCATGCCGTTTGGTCACTATAATTTTAAAGTACAGTTTGACGTCAGGTAGTGTGATGCCTCTGGCTTTGCTCTTTTTGGTTAGGATTGCTTTGTCTATTCAGGCTTTTTTGTTGTTCCATATAAATTGTAAAATAGTTTTTTTCTAATTCAGTGAAGAATGACATTGGTAGTTTGATAGGAATAGTGATGAAATTGCTTGGGGCAGTATGGCCATTTTAACAATATTGATTCTTCCAGTCCTGACCATGCAATGTTTTTCCATTTACTTGTGTTATTTCTCATTTCTTTCAGCAGTGTTTTGTAGTTCTCCTTGCAGAGATTTGTCACCTCCTTGGTTAGCTGTATTCCTAGGTATTTCATTTTCTTTGTAGCTATTGTAAATTAAATTGTGTTCTTGATTTGACTCTCATCCTGGCCATTATTGGTGTACAGAAATACTACTGATTTTTGTGTATTGATTTTGTATCCTGAAACCTTTAAATTATTTATTCATTCTCTAAGTCTTTTGGGGGAGTCTTTAGGATCTTCTAGGTATAGAACCATATCCTCAGCAAAGAGAAATAGTATCACCTTTTCTTTTCTTGTTTGGATGCCTTTTATTTCTTTTTCTTGCCTTATTGCTCTGCTAGGATATCCTATCATTGTTATTTTATTCTGTTTAGTTACCTTATAAAACATGCTATTCCATGTCACCATGACATCCCTTACCTGAAATGTTATTCTCAACTTTCTTCAATTGTTAAAGAACAAAAGTCTGAAGTCCCTAATTCTAACTCTGTCACTAATTTACTACACATCATTGGAAATTTTATTTATCCTGTTTTAGTCCAGTAGCCACATTTGTAAAGGGATTTTTTTTCCAAAAAAATAGATAAATAAACAGATATATACTTCATGGGAATTTTATTGGAATCAAATTAGATAGTACATAAAGCAAAATAATCAACATATACTAAACAGTCAGACAGTTTATTATTGTTAATATTATTGGCACAACTTAAGTATTATCTCCACCATGGATACTTTCATGAATTCTTAGGATTATTATACCACTACTTCTCTAAACTCCAATACAATCTTGTGCCACTTTCTTATATTACTTACTATGATATATTGAAATTTTCTCTTTTTTTATTATACTTTAAGTTCTAGGGTACATGTGCACAACGTGCAGGTTTGTTACATATGTATACATGTGCCATGTTGGTGTGCCGCACCCACCAAGTCGTCATTTACATTAGGTATATCTCCTAATGCTATCCTTCCACCCTCCCGCCACCCCACAACAGGCCCCAGTGTGAGATGTTCCCCTTCCTGTGTCCATGTGTTCTCATTGTTCAATTCCCACCTATGAGTGAGAACATGCAGTGTTTGGTTTTCTGTCCTTGTGATAGTTTGCTGAGAATGATGGTTTCCAGCCTCATCCATGTCCCTACAAAGGACATGAACTCATCATTTTTTATGGCTGCATAGTATTCCATGGTGCATATGTGCCACATTTTCTTAATCCAGTCTATCGTTGTTGGACATTTGGGTTGGTTCCAAGTCTTTGCTAGTGTGAATAGTGCCACAATAAACATATGTGTGCATGTGTCTTTATAGCAGCATGATTTATAATCCTTTGGGTATATACCCAGTAATGGGATGGCTGGGTCAAATGGTATTTCTAGTTCTAGATCCTTGAGGAATCACCACACTGACTTCCACAATGGTTGAACTAGTTTACAGTCCCACCAACAGTGTAAAAGTGTTCCTATTTCTCCACATCCTCTCCAGCACCTGTTGTTTCCTGACTTTTTAATGATCGCCATTCTAACTGGTGTGAGATGGTATTGCATTGTGGTTTTGATTTGCATTTCTCTGATGGCCAGTGCTGATGAGCATTTTTTCATGTTTCTTTTAGCTGCATAAATGTCTTCTTTTAAGAAGTGTCTGTTCATATCCTTCACCCACTTCTTGATTGTGTTGTTTGTTTTTTTTCTTGCAAATTTGTCTGAGTTCTTTGTAGATTCTGGATATTAGCCCTTTGTCAGATGAGTAGATTGCAAAAATTTTCTCCCATTCTGTAGGTTGCCTGTTCACTCTGATGGTAGTTTCTTTTGCTGTGCAGAAGCTCTTTAGTTTAATTAGATCCCCTTTGTCAATTTTGGCTTTTGTTGCCATTGCTTTTGGTGTTTTAAACATGAAGTCCTTGCCCATGAAATTTTCTCTTTACATGCCACTGTACTATAAATTTCTCTGGAGCAGAGATTCTGTCTTAATCATCTATGCAGGTTTTTAGTATAATTCCTGGTTCAAAGTAAGCATTCAGTAAGTATTTGTTGAACATAATTGCATAACTACAATGTGATCAGGAGATTCTGAGCAATCTTATTAATATATCAAAAGAAAAATAACAGATAAAAATGAGTAAATAACATTTATTTAAAATTTTACAACAGACACTGTGCTGGATACATACTAAAGGAATTACAGTAATCTTGTGCAGCAACTATTGTCATTTCCAATTTATATGTAACATAATTGAGATTTAAAGGGTTTATATATCCAGATCACATTTCCAGTAATAGTTATGAATCAGTCTTCATAATGAAGACTGAAAGTCCTCAACTTTCAGCTCCAAATTGAAATATCATATTATGAAAAATATTGAGTTATGTATTAAAGTAAAATTAGGATTATTTTTAAAATTTGAGGCAGGTTCTTAGTTTCTTGTTGCCCAGGCAGGAGTGCAATGGGGCACTCATAGCCCACTATAGCCTCGAAATCCTGAGCTCAAGTGATCTTCCCACCTCAGCCTCTGAAGTGGGCTGGGACTACAGGCACATTTACCATGCCCAGACTTGATCAGGATTTTTTTTTTGAAGCTAAAGCCTGAGAATTGCCTTTGAAAGATCCATAAATATTCTGTGAATTCATGTACAATTGGTGTGTATGTGTAATTTTTTGGCAATAGCACCCATGGCTTTTATTAGAATCACAAAATAGTTCATGACCTGAAAAGGGTTTTTAGGTGAAGTTTTAAATGATACATTTTATTATTCAAAACATTTGATTAAACCAGTGTACTCTATTTTTTACTACTATTTATTTAGCATTAGGTTGTATGTAAAACCAGTGACCAATGCTAAAATTATATGTGACATAATTTTGCATTTCTTAAGTGCAATAAAACTAATTAATTTGACACCAATTTTCGAAAGTGATATGCAGTCATAAATATTACTTGGTCTACTAAGCAATTAACAACTTTCAAAGAAAATGCCTACTCTAATAAAATAAGCCAATTAATTTTCAAGAATCACCTACTTACATAAAAGAGATGTGCTAATTATATATTATACTACTTATTAAGACATGTCCCAGAGAAATTTATTTGATGGTGCTTTTATAGTTAGTGGTTATTATATATTGGTAAGCAATATCATATTTCCAAAAATGTTTTAATGGAAGAGGTTGAAATAGCTGGCCTCAAAATTGACTTCCACTATGGAAATACTTTTAAATTATTGATTCTTGTGGATAATTCAGACTTTAAAAACAAACAAGCAAAAAACTACACATACGTATATCACAAATGTGCTCCTAACTACACATAAGAAAAATAATATCATCTGCTTTTTCAATAAAATGAGCCCATATACACATTTATTTGGCCACCATCTAGCCTTTGTTGGGTCCTTTACATATGTCTTCCCTTTTTCATGTCTGAGAAATCAGCAACAACACTTTGTTCATTAATATCTCCTCCCTTTAAACCATCATTCTCAGCAAACTATCACAAGGACAAAAAACCAAACGCTGCATGTTCTCACTCATAGGTAGGAAATGAACAATGAGAACACTTGGACACAGGAAGGGGAACATCACACACTGGGGCCTGTTGTGGGGTGAGGGGAGCGGGGAGGGATAGCATTAGGAGATATACCTAATGTAAATGACGAGTTAATGGGTGCAGCACACCAACATGGCTCATGTATACGTATGTAACAAACCTGCACGTTGTGCCCATGTACCCTAGAACTTAAAGTATAATAAAAAATATTAAAAAAAAATCTCCTCCCTTTAAAAAAATATCCTGCCTGGATTGGCTACTGAGATAGGTTGTGTGGATTAGGGCTCTACCTACTTCTAAACTCTTTCTAACTTGTTTTCGGATGATAGATGCTAAGGAGTTTAAAAATTAGACTCTCATGTGGAGTAGGGGCTGGAAACTCTTCTGGTTCTCCCAAGAAAAGGAAGCTACACAGAAGACCTGGAAGCAGAAGCGATCCTGGGGAACTTTTGTAGCTCAAAGGGAATTGAATTTCTGGCAAATAAAGTGATGAAGTCATTCGGTTCTTCTGGAGTTTCTGTAGTGTAGTTTTTTGTTTGTTTGCTTCCACTTCATAGAATCATAGGTGTAATGTGGCAGGTAGTGAAAGTAGTGGTGTATTTTCAAAACAGTGCTACTTAATGTGCTCATCTCAGAAAAGAACAAGAGCTTGCATCCAAATGTAAATTAACACACTACATCTTTTTTAAAGTCTCGCTATGAAAATATTTTCAAGTAAACTAGATAGTGTGCCTAATGACACAGGGGATTTGCCATCTGGTTCAAGCACTTTTCTCATTCCAGACAAGTATCAGTATGCAGATCAGCCGTTGGTCCACAAACCACACTTGAATTGGAACACTACGCCAGAATAATCCCATGGGGTAGTTGGGCATTTTCCTATTTGTGTTTTTCCTGTGTGGTTTTTCAGCTGTGTGGTGTCTAAACCTCATTCTTTGACTCTTTAGAAATTCTATAAACTATATAGTACCTCTAATAAAGCCCTCTTTTTTCTTGTGTTAGCTACAGTGAAGTCTGTTTTCTGCAACTAATATAGTCCTTACGTAGGAATTTGTTTCTGATAATATTATATTGTGATCATGGAGACTGTCAGACCTTTAATCCATATTGTTATTTTAAATACAAACATCAGTCTGCATTTGCGTGCAATTTTAGGTTGCAACTTGTTTTTGAACAAATCTCATGCTTCTTCCTATGGTTACCTCAGCTTAATACTTCTTTTGTTCATGCAAATAATCTTTTGAAGAATACTGAGTTCTCAAATTTCCTCCATGAATCTGTACCTTTAGTTTATCCTGTGTGGCCAGACTATATACTTTTTTAAAAACTTGGGAGTAGCAATTGTTTCATAATTATATTATACCTAAAATAACTATGCTTATGTAGCATATGTTAAGAATTGCATCCATATGATAGTATTCATATCTAAAGAATTCATAATATGTGTCTAAAAGAATAACAAGTTATATACCTTCAAAGTAAGCTAGGGAAACATAAAAGCCCACGTAAGGTCAGCCATTCCTAAGTTAGCTAACCAAAGACAAATTGGGATTTCCCTGAAGCCATATCCCATGGAAATTTACCAAACAGCTTTCTCTTTCCTACTGTGAACACTGAAAGCTTGTGACTCCCAGGGCTTTATCCAGCTTACACAATTTTAGATTCTGACTTTTCAATCATATTAAATCTAAAATGTATCTGAAATTTTTATCATTGGAAACATTCTCCCATGGAGATTTAATCTTTCTCTTTGATGAAACTCCATTGGGATTCATGAAGGTCTTACTTCTTACAAGTCTACCTTCTGGTTATTTTGTTAAGGACTTATGAGCAAATCAGATATTAAGAATCATTGGCCTACAGAACAAAGTTCAAAACTCTTTGGTTGTATAAAAAATAGAACTACAAAAACGTTAAGTAGGAAAGAAAACTAAAAGGACAATACTGAATGAAGAGGAGTCTAAATTCCATATAAGATGCTAAATATTCATACCCTTTCTATAAAAATCAAGCCAAAGAAGATTCCTCTACCCCTCATGGGTAATTATTAAGGATGTATAGGATTTAAAATATATTTTAATTACAAATAAAACAGTTTTGTTGAAAAAAACACATTATTTAGATTTGAATAAAACATAAAGTGACCATCCCTAGCCACTTCCTCTTCCACTACCCAAAGTATCTACTCCCAACAGGAAGGTATGTCTCCTAATCCTTTCCTACTTTGGAAATATAGGATACCAAATATTCCATGTACTCCTCTACATTTCTCAGCCTCTTTGTGGTTAAGTTCATTTGACTAATTGTGTCCATGAAATGTGAAAAGTGAAATGCATCCCTTCCAAGTGATGACAGTGCAAAGCAGCTGTATAATTCTTCAGTTGCTCTTTTTCTGTTGCTAGAACAACCAGTTGACCTTTGTTCAGGTAGCAGGGGAGAGGATTGAAGTGTTCATGATCACTGAGTCACTGGGGATGACAGCTGCCCACTGGAGTTGTCTAGATCCACAAAGAACTCACAAGAATGAGCCATAAATTCTTGCTGCCTTAAATCACTGAGACTTAAAAATTGTATATTACAAGAATAGCCCTCCCTATCCTGACTAAAATGCTCATGCATATAACATGCCTATAAAGACTGACCAATAAGAGTAAATAAAAATACTTTCTCTTTTGTTCCTCCAAAAGTGGGATGCTAATATGAATAATAACTTACATTTTTCATAAATAAGAGCATCTTTTGGTTTTCCCAGGAGAATTTAATATCTTTAATATTAGCAAAGCGTGTAATAAACAGCAAAGGTTCAGATCAAGTATTTAATAATGGATACATATTTATAACTACCCTGTAAAATTTATTCAATCTTATGATGATTGGTTATAATATTGATAATCAAGGCTTGTTTTATAGTTTCTATAACCGATTATATTAAAATAAGCTTTGTAACTCACAGTATCATTCAAGCTTATTTGAAAGACTTGTTTTCCCCATTTAAGGTCTCCATTAACATGTAATTCTTTCTAGCACATTTTTTATGCAGAAAAAGTAGACATTTTCAAAACATTTTTTTTCTGTTCATGCCAGAGTGAGTTCTGCTCCCAGATCATCTAGTATATTCAGGCAGGGGGAAAAATGAGAAAGTGCCAAAAAAGAGAGTCCCATACACAAGAAGAAAACCCCAAATTTTAAAAATCTAATCACTACATCAAGATTAAGTACTCACTGACTCATATTTTAGGTAAATAATCACAAGAAGGACACCAACAACAATTTCTATTCCTAAATCTTAGGCCGTCAGTATGGTGAGAACCTAAAGACTGTGTTAGATGAAATGTGAATGGATCTTATCCAGTTTCGTGAGAATGCTTGATAGGTCTCTCTCCAGAAAACTGCTAGCTTTAAGGTTATTTGGGCTAGTCCAATAGCTTATTTGTTTTTCCACACAAGTGGTTCTTTTAAAGGAAAAGTAAAGAGCAAAACTCACAGCCAAAGTCACCCGATCAACCAGTTTGGTTAAGTGGCAGCCTTTATACCTGCCATTCAAGTGACTTCAACAAACATCATTATAATTGCTAGTATGAACATGACCTTGAAAAAAAAGGCAGCTTCAGGATTATCTTGTGTATTGTTTAATAAACTCTGTATCGTCAAGCCACCCTGACTTTAAAGCAGCAGGATGTTACAGTGTTGTTTTCATATCCTGTTTTAAAGATGATCAAACATTTCTCAGAGCCAACCCAGAGATTTCTCTTTCTTTGGCACATTACATCCCAAGAACAATTACTTCATTCCAGATGACTATATTTTATAGCTCTTATCTGTTCCACAAGTTTGGAATGGGTTACAGTTCTGCCAACACAAAACATTTTACTTTCTCTAGATTCATACAAAAGAAATTTTGGTCAGCTCTGCCAAATTTGTACACTTTCTAAAAACTTCCTAAATAGGAAAGTCTTATTAAAGGAGATAAAGGGAAAAAAAAGACACACAAAACCCAAAGTTTTAGTTTGGGGAAGAAAGACTGAGGGAGGATCTAAAGTGTAAACCAACCGTATTTATTTGTAACAGAGTGATTCTTTCACTGAACTCACCTGAGGAAATTCACATGTTCCAGCAGGAACAGTCAATTGCGTGAACTGACAGCAGGCTTCAGTCTATTTCCCAATCAGGACTAAGACCCTTTTGTTAGAACAAAGGACACACTTTCTTCATTGCTTTATAAACACACCATGACTACAAAGTTCTACCAAGTACAATTTACAAAAGAGAACTATGAAGAATCACTTTGCATTGTACTTGACTTACTTTAATATCTCTGGCATAGAATTTGTCATTTTTATAATGTGATTAGTCTCCAGTGTTACGTTGTAAGAAGGAGTAAGGGCCAGTTTCTTGAAGAAGTGAGGAAACCATCACTCTTCAAACTATGGCTTAGATTACAGTGCATTGGCATCAGCTGAGAGCTTGTTAGAAATGCAGAATCCCAGGCCTGAGACCAGACCTATTAAATCAGAATCTGCAATGTAACAAGAACATGAGGTGATTTACAAATCATATTAGTTTGAGAAGCATGGGACTAAACAACTTCATGCTGATTTCTCCATAGCAGACCTCTTTGTGTTCATTGGATCAATAGCTTAGGTTCTCCTAGAAGACTGCTCCTAAGTACATTAATTAACTCAATCAAGACACAAGCACTCACTATATGCCAGACACTCTTCTAGGCTCTGCTCAAAACACACAAAAGTCTTTCCTACAGTAGACCAAAAAGCTTAAATGCTAGTGTCCTTTAGCAAATAAAGCACAAGATTTTGATAGAAAATTTTGGTGCTTCATTGTTGTTAATTTTTTGGTGAAGCCCCATAATTTAAACAATTGGTGGAGATTTGCTTCCAATAATTACTTATTGATGGTCTATGTATTAGATTAAATCTTTGCTCTTTATCTGTTCAGAATGGGTAAAATTGTAGTATTACCTAAATAGCCATGAATATATCAGTACTTTACGTAGAGTAATCTTTTTCCTTGTGTATCTGTTTCCAGGTTAATCCCTGGGGTAGAAGCATTAAAACATTTAATCAGTCACAGAGAACTAAATAAGAAAATAATTGCAAAATTATACTTCATAGAGGAAATGATTAATTCTAGGGGAAAACATGTAGTTATATAAATTGTGAGTTAAGTTATCTGTCACCTTTAAACATTGGTCTTACATTTCTAAAAGTAAAAGGTTTTACATAGGGTTTTACACAGTAAAACTTGTAAGAAAAAATAGAACAAATCAGTGATGCCAGTCATTTATTAACCTTAACTACATGGTACACAGAATTTATATGACATTGTTGATATTTCAGTTAGTATTTAAGTATTCAGTAATGAGCTAATTCATTCATAATTCCCAGTGTCTAACTTTAATAATAATAATAGTATATACTGGAAAATGGAGATAAATTGTTCTTCCTTTATACACACACACACACACACACACACACACACACAAATGTACACATACATACAGTATTCTGGGTCAGTATATTGGTGATTGTGTTGGTAATGAACGGAAGAATTGGATGTTACTAAATTGTGACTCCTAGATAAATGTACTATATATGAATAAGAGTTTCTGGAAGAGCCTCTCTTCTCATATCTGCTAGAGATGCCCATGGATCTTTCTTTTATTCCTGCTATTGGATATTGAGGAATCCTACTTTGTTTCAGGAACTCTACACATTTTCAGTTTCAACAGACCTTGCTTGGGTAAGATTTTAAATAGATACATTGTCATATAATTTGTAAAGTACTCCTTTAGACTTGGTTACTAACAACATTTGCAAAATTTGGGGGTAGTGGCATGAAGAAGACCACGGTTGAATTTGGTGGTAGTATATTTGTGTATCAGGTTTGGTGATAAAAGTAAAGAAGTTCCACAAATTTAGGAAAACACTGTCCTCTGTAGCCATGGTAACAAATAGCTACTAAGCTTCTACAGATGATGTCAACTTCTGTACTTCTGAATGTTTACCAATTCCTGAACTCCATGCTTTCCCCAAATCCCATATAAGATCCATCCTCTATTCTTCTCAGAGAGACTGTGCCTGACCAGCATAGCTCTCACACAATAAATGCAGTTTTGTGCTTTTTATTGAAGGTACTGTGTGATGATCTCAGCATCTTTTGACAGTAGATAGCATATCTGGGTAAGAAGAGAAAGGCATACTAACTGCTCAGTGCCTTCCTGCAACAGGATCCTGTAAAGCTCTCTAACTAAAAGATGGGCTTCTTCCCAAAGTGTGTGATCTCTGTGTCAAGCATTTCCTGGGACTTGTTAGAAGGGCAAATTACTGAGTCATTCCCAGACTTAGTGGACTTCTCTTTAACAATCTCTGCAGGTGATTCTCATACATGCTAAAGTTAAGTGCTGATGAGAGGTACGGAGCCTACGTATTATTAAGCCAAAATTCAAATTGTTATCTTACCACCTCCTAAATATTTGACCTTGGATAATTTGCTGGACTATTCTGTACTTCATCTGCCTGTACTATTTGAGGATAATATTGTACTTAACATCAAATGTAATTATAAGGATTAAATGACATAATGATTTTTAAATACTTAACCTGGCATGTCTTAACAGCTGCATATTTGCCACTTATATTTATTATATTTATTCCTACTATTAGTTATTAAAACGATTTGTACATAACTTTATAAATTCAGATAACATATTCAAGTGTATGCAAATTATTTACAAGGAAAATAGATATCATTTTTTATAGCTACTTACTCTGATTGGTAATCAGCCGCAGTTTAATTTAGAAAATCATTTAAACAGCTGAAACTGTTTGCTAATAACAAAAAATAAAAATGAACAAAAAGTAAACTATCTTGACCTAAGATTACTAAGCCCTGGTAAGGTAGACCAAATTATCCATGGTGAAGAATCTGTTTTTATTTCATTTTTTTTCCCCAGTCTGTCTTGAGCTGATGTAACTAAGGAGCTCAAGCTGCAAGTGATCCACAGAGAAGTTAAAACAGAAACTGGTGTATAACCTGTTCAGTGAGACAAGTTCACTCATCTTGTGTTTGTATGTTAAATTATCCCGCAAGTTTCTAAACTCTCACATTCAATTTTTGTAATAATTTCATCAGAAATTAGAAACAAAGAGTTCATAGATCACAATTTGAGTAGCAGTAAAATAGAAAATAAAGATAACTGACCTCAGACACAAAGCTTTCTCCCTTTTCCATGTTGCCAGCTAATCCACACACACTTAGCTTTAATTCAAAATTATGTAAAAATGAATAAATATTTAAAATTATTAACAAAAATATTACACTACTTTTCACATAATGAGTATTTTAATGACAAAATTTCCACTGAAATGAATTATTTACAGATTTCTGAACATAAATATGCCACACCTACTATGAAGTATTAGGTTTAGGAAGTTGAGATACTTATTTCAGGACCCTTGAAAAAGGTGCAAATAAATTGCACAGTAGTAAATACAATAAATCCCGCAAGTAATGATACTTTTAATAAACTAGAGGCAGGGCCTCATAACCTTCATTTTCTAGCTATCTGTGACTTTGACAATTTATTGACTTTTGAAATATTCATTCTTTAAGAAGTTTTTTCTAATATGTCCATAAATGTATCTTCAAAATTTGAATATATGAGTGGTAAAATCAGTTTCAAATGAGAATGTATTCAACTTATCAAAAATATAAAATCGTGATTATAATTATTAATTGTAATTTAGTTGTAACCTATAGTAGCATTTATTTAATTGATATTAATTATTGACTAATTATAGTATCATGTTATATAATTAATATATTGTTATAATAAATAACTATATTAAAGAGTATTAGCAGTTACAAAGTGGTAGACCAAATTCTGTATATCCGGTAAGGAAAGTAATTATGGGAAAAGTGAGCTTGCTTATCCATATTTGGCAAAGAATGACAATAGAAATGTAATTATTAGCCTCAGTATTCAGTGTAATTGCCACCCCAATATGAATGTTCATGAATCTTCAAACAGCTACTTAAGTTTTATGTCAACCACTGTAGGTACAGTTCCTTGTTGTCAGTCTATTGCTAACTGACAATTCACCACCTTCCAAGATATTTAGCCAGTATCAACATCTATGAACTTAGATCTTTGCATTTATTCATTAAAAAAATTGAGCAACTTTTTTCTTCTACTTCTCTATATGCTCCTTTCCTTTAAACTATTCCTGAACATAATATGCTGAGTATAAAGGAATCCAATTGAAAGACTGTTTTTTGTTTAGTTTGTTTTAAAAAAAATTTCTAAAGATAGAGGGTAACATTGTGCTGTCACAACACTACAATGTCACTCTGAAATATTTTGTTGTTAAATGTTCATGTGACTTATTTACCAACACATATTTAAGAGTTAAATCAATTATATCATTAAGTAATATGGTTTTCCATACACATTTGTAATTTTTTATGGTCACATTAATTCTTAAGATAGGGTGGATCATGATGACTTTTATTTTCCTGTAATTGAATAAATCTTGTTCTTTAGTTTCCATTTCTGCTGATTTTGAGAAATTTAATCTTGCTGACTTATGAACAGGGTTGCATCTGGGTTAACATACAGACTCTAGTCATTTCAAATGTTCTTGCTTTCAGATTCTTCTCTTTTCTTCCTCTTGCTTTGTCCACTGAAGTGATCTAACTTGCAAAGACTTTTCTCTTTTGCCAGGACTTTTCTTTTGCTCTGGCGTCAGGAGCTAATAGTCTTGTCTGAGAGCCACTCTCTGGTATTGCATGTAGATGTCTACTTCAATCAATCCGAAGAGGTTACATGATACTGACAGCCCCAAATCTCAGCACTTAAAATAACAAAATATATTTCTTTTTCACGCTACATAACCAAAAAGGGTAGCTTTGCCCTATGTGTCTTGTCACTAGCTTTGTCCCTCTGTTGATGGAGGGTACATTATCTTGTGATGGTGACATTTAAGCAAGTTTCCACACTTGCCATGGCAGGGAAAAGAAATACAGATTCATACACCAGCAGTAAATACTTCCCACATGTGACACATATCACCAATGATCACACTGGCAATTTGTCATTGGTCAAAGAGCTGATCGCCACACCTAACTTCAAAGGAACAAGAAAGCACGATCTTTCCTAGTGGTCCAAAAGGGGTAGATAAACAAATATCAATGAATGATGGAAATTTCTGGCACAGGAATCCTGCTAGGACTCTCCCCGTGCCATTTGTTGTCCCAGTGCTCATTTTGCTGGGACTTATTCCCCAATCTCGCTGCTCTGTCACTCATTTACCATGTTGGGCTTGTCTGTGAAACATGCAGTAAGTGGACTACATGTGTGGGAGTCAGGCACCAGTTCTTTCTTCCCTAAGGCCACCCAGGTCCAGGTATCTCCGAGGTTCATATGAAATTTCAATAGACTTTAATAGAATTTCAGTCCCTGGAGGAGAAGGATACAAAGTCTCTTGATAGTCACCAACCAGGGTCTATGCTCTATTTTATGACTCACATTCTTCTTCCCCTTGCTAGTTGAAATCACACCTCCTTTTGGATAGAAACCAATGCTCTGATATTACAGTCTTCTGCATCATATGATTTATAGTTCAAACTTCGTATTCTAAGTCTTCCAGGATTTAGAATTTTATATTTTACGTTAGTGTTTTAGAGGAAACCAACAACTAAAAGGAAAACAGAACCTTTACTTTTTAAACCACCTGATCATTAAGATAGAAAGAATGAGAGAGCAGGAGGCATTGTGGCTCATGACTGTAATCCCAGCACTTTGGGAGCTGAGGTGGGCGGATCACTTGAGGTCAGAAGTTTGAGACCAGCCTGGCCAACATGGAGAAACCCCATCTCCACTAAAAATATAAAATTTAGCTGGGCATGGTGGCCCGCCCCTGTAATCCCAGCTACTTGGGAGGCTGAGGCAGGAGGCAGAGGTTGCAATGAGCAGAGATCATGCCACTGTACTTCAGCCTGGGCAACAGAGTGAGACTCTATCTCAAAAAAAAAAAAAAAAAAGAATGAGAGAAAATATTGCTTTCAGGACTATTGTCATATATATAAATGGAAATCCATTTATGTGTCTGCATTATGCTTCAATATAATGCTTTACAAAATCCATTTGGATATTTAACAATTTATTTTTCCAAGGTTCTGCTTGCTCTCCCTGGATGATAGTGCCTGTGGAAGACCTTCTGTGGGGAGAGAGACTACTCTGGACAATCTCTCAATATCTCAAAATTAAATAGATAGGTAAGGTATGTGGATAGATGATAGATAGATCTCTAAATAGAAATCAGAATGAAATTTAAATTTTGTATTCTTAAATACTCAAACAAAAGGATTTTATTTCCCCTGGTGTCTGCAGAACCTCCAGTTTGATGATTATTTCAGAGGCTACAAGAGTTTACAGAGTAATTAGAGGTTTACAGAATGTTCTCAAAAACTCAGGCCTAGGACATTTCAAAATCCACAGAAAGAAGTAAGAGACATTTCATTTTATTTTGTTTTATTTTGCTATTATGAGCTGAATTGTGTCGCCCAAACCCATATGTTGAAGTCCTAGCCCCCAATTCCTCAGAATGTAACTGTATTTTTAAGACAGGGGCTTTAAAGGGGTAATTAAGGTAAAATGTGGTCATATGTGTGAGCCTAATTCAATATTACTGACTTCCTAAAAAAGAAAAGGGATTAGAATAGAGACATACACAGAGAAAAGACCACGTGAGAACACCAGAAAGAGATGGCCACCTCCAAACTAAAGAGAGAAGCCCCAGAGTGGGGAAAAGCAAGAGAGATCAGATTGTTACTGTGTCTGTGTAGAAAGAAGTAGACATAAGAGACTCCATTTTGTTATGTACTAAGAAAAATTCTTCTGCCTTGAGATTCTGTTAATCTATAACCTTACCCCCAACCCCGTGCTCTCTGAAACATGTGCTGTGTCCACTCAGAGTTAAATGGATTAAGGGCGGTGCAAGATGTGCTTTGTTAAACAGATGCTTGAAGGCAGCATGCTCCTTAAGAGTCATCACCACTCCCTAATCTCAAGTACCCAGGGACACAAAAACTGCGGAAGGCCGCAGGGACCTCTGCCTAGGAAAGCCAGGTATTGTCCAAGGTTTCTCCCCATGTGATAGTCTGAAATATGGCCTCGGGAAGGGAAAGACCTGACTGTCCCCCAGCCCGACACCCGTAAGGGGTCTGTGCTGAGGAGGATTAGTAAAAGAGGAAGGAATGCCTCTTGCAGTTGAGACAAGAGGAAGGCATCTGTCTCCTGCCTGTCCCCGGGCAATGGAATGTCTCGGTATAAAACCCGATTGTATGCTCCATCTACTGAGATAGGGAAAAACCGCCTTAGGGCTGGAGGTGGGACCTGCGGGCAGCAATACTGCTTTGTAAAGCATTGAGATGTTTATGTGTATGCATATCTAAAAGCACAGCACTTAATCCTTTACATTGTCTATGATGCAAAGACCTTTGTTCACGTGTTTGTCTGCTGACCCTCTCCCCACAATTGTCTTGTGACCCTGACACATCCCCCTCTTGGAGAAACACCCACGAATGATCAATAAATACTAAGGGATCTCAGAGGCTGGCGGGATCCTCCATATGCTGAACGCTGGTTCCCCGGGTCCCCTTATTTCTTTCTCTATACTTTGTCTCTGTGTCTTTTTCTTTCCTAAGTCTCTCGTTCCACCTTATGAGAAACACCCACAGGTGTGGAGGGGCAACCCACCCCTACACCCCAGAAAAAAAAATCAACCTTGTCAATGCCTTGATCTTGGAATTCTAGTCTCTAGAATTGTGAGAAAATTAATTTTGGTTGTTTAGGTCACCGAATCCGTGATACTTTGTATGGCAGCTCTAACAGACTAATACATTTATTTTACCTATTTAGGAGCTAGAGATAAAAAGAAGAAGAAAGGAGAGTGTGGATTTATTTAATCATATGGAAAAGAAATAACACAAATGTGTAGAATGCATGAGTTTACACTAGTATGAATTTCTGCATTGTCTTAACACTGATTTCCTCAGAACCCCCCCAGATCTTTGAACTTGTGATGCACTGGTTCATCCATTTGCATTTGAGGTCAGAAATCATTTTGGAATCACCATGAAACAAATCTACTGGATCATAACTTGGTGTTAAGATGTAACATATAACAGTTAAATAAATAATGCTATATACATTTTACATATTTATGCTATTTGGACTGAGTTGATGAAAGTTCTATACATTCCCAAATTAATGTAGTTTCCACTCTAATTACATTTCCTCGGTGATTTCAGTCCCATTCTCTTCTCTCATACAACTTATTCAAGACTTATTCTCTCCTTCTCCTACAGTCCTTTACTTTTTCCCACATATCCTTCCTAACCCTCAATAGGAAAAAACTCTAAGAATATATTTTCTTTTCTTTTTTTTTGTCCTCCATTCCCCTGTCCATAATGACATGATTAGAACATTTTCAACCTCTCTTTATCCCCCTCATGCCCACCTCCATCTCCTAGGTTTTGCTGGAATAATTGAGTGATTATTTGAATTGTTTTAAAATAAGTCCCTTAGATTGTGAAATTCCTCATATCCTCACCTATTAAACTTACATATATTAAATGTCATTACTCACCACTGTTCTCTCTTCTTTCACCTTGTCTCTCTTATGATTAATTTGTCTTTTTATGGCCTTTCCTCAAGTATTCTCCTTAGGTAGTATGGTTGCATAGCAAACCATTCCAGTTTGTGTATGTCACTCTTTCTATATATTTTGTCTTTTTTCAAAAAAGGCATCAACCGGATAATAAACAAGAAAATTACGGACTGAATATAGGAGTTTTTGCATGTTGTTTGTTTTCCTGAGTGTATTAAATGATCTATTGTCTATTAGCTTCCGGGGTCAAAAAATAAAGCCTATACCAGTGTGATTATTTTTCCTTTGTGAGTAACTTGTTCTTCCAAGCTATAAACATAAACCTTTTTCTTTACCCTTGGAGTTCACACATTTTATAAGGATTTACTTGGTTGCATATATCTTCTTATTAAATCAGCCTGAAACTTAGTCAGCCCTTTTAATTTCTGGACCCAAATCTTTTCTCAATTCAGGAAAATTTATTTCTAGAAGTTGTTCAGTAATTACCTCTCTCCCATTTACTATTTTTTCCTCCTTTAAATCACCTTTTGGCTGTTCTTTTTCTTAGAGCTATTCTCACAGTTTCTTTTTTCTTCATGATTTCTCTTCCTCTTTCTTTTCTGTGCTTTTAAGTATTTCTTGTGCTTAATTCACTCAGTCATAAATTCTAATTTCAGTAGTAACTGTTTTCCCTTCTAAAACATCTATTTAATGTTAGTTCCAAAACCAGGAATGTGGGGTGTATGTGTGTGTGTGTGTGTGTGTGTATGTGTGTGTGTGATTTGAACATCTTTCAATATATTCTTTTTTCCTTCCTCCCTCCCTCTCTTCCTTCCTTATTTAAAAAAATTCAGTAGCTCATTTTTCCCTGGGCATGTATCCTGAATTGCAACCTGATCTTTTTCTTTCTCATTGCCATGGCCCCTTAAATGGGTAGTTATTTTCTTAAGCAGCACATGCAGCTGAGTTCTGGTGGCTGAAATTTATTTAGGACAGAGACTCTCTAGAGGATGAAAGTCAAAAGGGTTATCTCACTTCCTCTTCCTGTCTTGAATGGCAGGCTAACAGTCTCTTCTTGATATACCCAGAAAGGTCACTCTGTTTTCTATTTTTTCTGCAGTCTCCTAGTCTCAGAATCAGGGAAGACTCAGCGAATATCTAGTTCTATCCTGGTCTTCAGTGGGTCAAGTTGACTAGGGTTACTTAAAATAAGTGACTACATACCTTCTTTTGTGAAAGTTTATACATTCCCAAACACCAAGATCTTCCCAGGATTTGCCACTCATCTGCACATTCCTCTTCTTTTTTTTTTGATGGAGTCTCACTCTGTCGCCAGGCTGGAGTGCAGTGGTGCAATCTCAGCTCACTGCCACCTCTGTCTCCCAGGTTCAAGAGATTCTCCTGCCTCAGCCTCCCGAGTAGCTGGGACTACAGGCATGCGCCACCACGCCCAGCTAGTCACTCTTTAATTAACTGACTAGCCCACATAGGAAGAACCTAAGAATCAGGGATTTCATCCACCCCCAGTCATAGACACTTTAGTAGCTACCAGCCTCAGAAGCAACAAATAGCTTGTAATTGAGAAATTGGGGATGGAGGACGTAGTCTTTAGGTTGCTCCTTTTATCTTGTTGTTGTTTAACTTTTTTTCTTGTTTTTTCTTTTTTTTTGGTCTTTCGTATGCTCATAGAAGACCCCTTCTTTTCCCAGGACAAATCATGCCTAATATAAATTAGTCAGGGTGATATCCATCCTCTTACCAGTGTCTGGCTGAGGTTTGCAAATGTGGCTCCAGTCCTGAGGCAGGAAATCTGTTTAGTGGCTTCTGGAAAACATTTTTTTAGGAGTAAGACTGAAAGATTAGAGATTTGTCTTAGAGTGGTAGAGGAAAATGTGCTCTTGATAGGAATAATAATCTATATCCCATTACTTTACATGTCTTTTTGGCAAAAGACATAAAACGTATGAACTCATTTTACGTGTCTATTAATACTGGTGTTAGACTCTTATAGGATCTCACTTTAGAATAAGATCTAATGTGTAGACCATCAAATAGGCAGTAGACGAATAAATGAGTGAATGAGTGGGTGAGTGCTTTCCTATTGATCCCATGTAAATACCATGTTTAATTTCTATCAGTCTGAAAATATTGTTTGGCAGAATGTAAAAGGGAACCTTTTTTTAATAGTGCTTTTTCCTTTGGGATCTGTTTAGGCTTCCTCCATATTGACAATTGACTAAAAATCATTTGCAAACTTAAAACCAAAGTAAAACAGCAGGTTAAGTGCAATGGTGTTTCTTTTTCCTGTCTGTAGGTTTATTTAGTTATATTCCAGCCAGCACTTGCAGGCACAGCTAACAACGCTGCACAGCAGGAACCATGCACTTGCTGCCTGAATTATCACAGAGACAAGGGGAGGCAGCTCTGTTTTGCAATGCTTCCTCATTTGCTGTAAAGATCAAAAAGAAGCATGCAGCAATATCACACATTAAAGGCACAAAAAATGAGTAATTACGAGCTTTTGGCTTTCTATTGTCTTTGAGAATATGCACCTAAGATACTGAATATATAAAATATGGTGACTCGGTTAGCTATTCTTCACTCAGTTCAGTAAGGGGCAAGTGCTCATTACAACATCCCGTCTCCTCCAAAATGTACTAGGTATGCTGTACAAAGATTTTACTATGTGCTTCTTTCCAAACTATTACACAACCTTGTCAGGTTTGTTTGTTTGTTTGTTTTCACATGTTCTCTTTGCTCTCTATCTCAAGGAATTTCATCTTTTCAGTGCACTGCCACAAACTTTTGGAGCACAAAAGCATGTAGAACAAGCACATTCAACCTGATCTCAGGCAGGCCCTCACTACCAACACCACACTGTCCTCCTGACATCACCTTCCCTGGGCTCCCTCAAAAACAGGTCTAAATACCTGCTTACAAATCATCAACAACACAGGGCCCACTACAGAGCGATTTACACAACACGCAACAGTCTGTTTCTTATTTCATTAGAGGTAAATAGGAGTTAGTTTCACTTTCCCAGCCAATCTGTAGTCACTCAATCAGTTACCAATATTTCATATTTAGCTGTGTAGCCTGTGGTTCAACTTTAAGTTATAGTGAATTATAGGACTTGAACATTGGGCTGGGGATTTGCCTTAAGTAGAGACAAGAATAGGCAAAGCTCAGGTGTGTGTGAGCAGTTTAAAAGCCTAGAAGATGTTTTAAACTGTGTGACTTCTCTTCTCCCTTGCACATCACTTACAAGAAAGACATTTTGATTTAGAGGAAAAGACTTAGAAGTAGTAACTAGGAAAAGGAGATCCAATTCTATATTGGCCACTTGTGTGAGTATGTTTAACTTACTTAAAGGTTCTGGGCCTCCCTTTCTTTCATTGTAGAATGAGGGTATCAGATATCTAAAGTCCCTTTCAGCTACAACCTTCGATCAAAGTAGCTGCGTCTTTTTGTCTCCATTTCTCCCAGGTTGTGTCTTGAGTTTTGGTATCTTCTTTTGGTCCTTTCCTTTACTCAAGGTTGCTCTTTAACTTGGAATCTCCTGAACATAAATGTGAGAGAGATTGGGAAAGAGAAATAGAATCTCCAGAGAAACAGCCCTGTCTCCACACCAAACATTAATGTAAGATACAAAGAAATGTCTTTGCCTTTGTGATTTCCCTATTAAAAAATAGGACAAAACACACACACACACACACACGTGCACACACACACACACACACAAAGGCTTTCAATTTTGCTCTAGATTATTCTAATATTTTTCACAGATTTAGAGAGACCAGCAATATTTATAAGAGGTTTGGACTTTTTTCCTCTGAAAAAATCTAATAAAATACCCAAAGCCAATTTTATTTTTTCCCAGCAGCCTTTTATAAAACAGGGTCAGCACCTCACATGAGTACACATGCATAAACCAGGAAACAAACCACAAGTTTACACAGATATCTGGTGATTTCCATGCTTTCCTGAGTTATTTGTTTAACTCAAATCACAACATGCAGTCATTTGGCTTTGTTTGACTTTATAATTATTGCAAATCTAAGAACTGGGTGCAAACACTTATGACAAAAATCCTCATTTTCTGTGGCTAATGTCAAAAGTTCTGTCCCCATTTCTCTGTCTAAATATACTTTTAAAGGTCTCTACCCAAATAGTTACATAGTTTCTGCATAACATAGACAACACTATCTTAAACTGCCAAAAGTATCTATGAAGAAATACTAAGTAAGTATCCAATCCAAATTCTCTAATATTATCTCTAGTGCCTGTGGTAGTTGCTTTAAATTGTGCAGATGACCCAAAGAGTTATGTACACTAAACAGTTCAACAGTGACTTGTCAAACTGCCTGGCTATGGACTCACTTGGCCTATCAAAGAAATAAAATTTTATGCTTTTTATTGCTGTCTCTGTCAGATTCCTCTTACAAACACACATCATTCTTGAGCACAACCTCTCAGAGTGTCTTGTGCACACCACTTTTGAGCAGCTGTACCCTGATCTTCACCTATGATCTCTCTATCTTAATAAATCCCCAAATATACATTGATAGCCTAGGACTATGGACCCACAACTATTCTAAGTGCAACGAATATATTTAAAAAATAAGATGCATTCCCATGCTGTAGGAAATCAGAATCTATTTGGGAAGAAAAAATTCACATATATGAAACAATTAAAGAGTGATAGTTAAAATAATATATAGCCAATCCTCAATTATGTAGTTCAAACAGTAAATGTGTTGAGAATTAAGAAATGTGAGAGATCAATAAAGAGCTTTCAATAATCTTTTCATTGATCCTAAGGGATCCAAACTTGAGGTAGAGAAAAATTTCAATCTAGGTAGTTTTGTGTATTATTTAATGGTAAATAACTGTCTGACTTATTCATCTAGGTCATGTGAAATAGAATATTCAAATTCCATGCTTTTCCTTTACAGACCAGCTTCTCTTTTCTTTTCCTCTTCGCTTCTTCTCTTCCTCCCTTTCTCCTTCTCTTTCAGCTGACAGAAATTTGTCTAAGAATAGCTTAGTAATTTTGCTAGGTTGGATAATAACGGTAGCACATCCTTCCAGAAAAATAATTTTAAAACCTTAAATGCTTAACTTTTCTCATATTCAGATCACGTTTTACTTCATATACTTAAGGCTTTACTATTGCATAAAGAACAAGTTTCATAGCAAAAGCATTTTGAGGCATCTGTACCATGAGGTCCATATGTGAAATGTTAACGAAGCAAGGCAGTTTGAAAAGCCACATCTCTGGGAAATAGAAGGGCAGAGGAAAAGGTATCAGAGAGGGGAAAATAAAACAGCTTT
Source organism: Homo sapiens (assembly GCF_000001405.40). Lineage (NCBI taxonomy): Eukaryota > Metazoa > Chordata > Mammalia > Primates > Hominidae > Homo > Homo sapiens. Next base: position 93,180,550 of record NC_000006.12, read on the forward strand.
AGATAAAAGATGAAGAGAGAGAAGATGGTGATTGAGAGCAAAGGTAGTACAAGAAAGCAATCTTTTACAAACAAATAAAAAACTAAGGATAACCTCCCAAATTGCACAACTTGGGATTGTGTAACTCCTTTAAGCTTAATTTATTTTATTCTGTTTGTTTCCCATTCTTATAAAAAATAATCATCATTATCAGCAAGAAGGCAGATTATTCTGTTTTCATTTGTTTATTTCACATTTTGTTTGTGTTTTGTTTTGGTTTTATGCTGAATGAAGGGAATGATATCCACTAGGACTCTGGCATAGAGCAGTTGGTTAAGAGCTGTGGTACATAAAATTACTAAAAGTGTTTTCAATGTTAGAGAATAATTGAATGGAGATGAATATACATATGCATACACTCCTTAATGCCTTAATGTCAGTTAATTTCAAACACTTGCATATCAAAGCCAAATAAAGTGGCAGATATTTTTATTTCTTTTTTTTATTATACTTTAAGTTTTAGGGTACATGTACACAACATACAGGTTAGTTATATATGTATACATGTGCCATGTTGGTGTGCTGCACCCATTAACTCATCATTTAACATGAGGTGTATCTCCTAATGCTCTCCCTCCCCACTCCCCCCACCCCACAACAGGCCCCTGTGTGTGATGTTCCCCTTCCTGTGTCCATGTGTTCTCATTGTTCAGTTCCCACCCATGAGTGAGAACATGCGGTGTTTGGTTTTTTATCCTTGCGATAGTTTGCTCAGAATGATGGTTTCCAGCTTCATCCATGTCCCTAAAAAGGACATGAACTCATCATTTTTTATGGCTGCATAGTATTCCATGGTGCATATGTGCCACATTTTCTTAATCCAGTCTATCGTTGTTGGACATTTGGGTTGGTTCCAAGTCTTTGCTAGTGTGAATAGTGCCACAATAAACATACATGTGCATGTGTCTTTATAGCAGCATGATTTATAATCCTTTGGGTATATACCTAGTAATGGGATGGCTGGGTCAAATGGTATTTCTAGTTCTAGATCCCTGAGGAATCGCCACACTGACTTCCACAATGGTTGAACTAGTTTACAGTCCCACCAACAGTGTAAAAGTGTTCCTATTTCTCCACATCCTCTCCAGCACCTGTTGTTTCCTGACTTTTTAATGATCACCATTCTAAGTGGTGTGAGATGGTATCTCATTGTGGTTTTGATTTGCATTTCTCTGATGGCCAGTGATGATGAGCATTTTTTCATGTGTCTTTTGGCTGCATAAATGTCTTCTTTTAAGAAGTGTCTGTTCATATCCTTTGCCCACTTTTTGATGGGTTGTTTGTTTTTTTCTTGTAAATTTGTTTGAGTTTATTGTAGATACTGGATATTAGCCCTTTGTCAGATGAGTAGATTGCAAAAATTTTCTCCCATTCTAAAGTCAAATACTGACTTTCTGTTGACACCACAATTACTTGTGCCATAAAGTGATGAGTGCTTTTGCCCTTCCCTCTCTTTGAAAGTTTCATTCCAGGTATAGAGAAGCAAAAAATCTGAGAACTCTGCTTAATTATTTCTGTGTATTTACATTGAGTAATGAGTCATATTACCTTATGCCTGGAAACAGTAAAACCAGGTAAAATTTCATAGTGGGAGTCTATTAGCACCTGAGAAATTTGAAATGGATATTCAAAACATGCTGTTAAAGAAAATAATAAAAATAAAACAAAATAAAAAATAAAAGCAGACTTGCTCTTTCAAAAGGAATGTGCCTACTGATAAATATAAAACAAACAATGAGGTATATCAGGTGGTCAGTGATTTAATATTTACCTTCACAATATCTGCTAATATATTAAATCTCACCTAAAATTCAGTTTTAAGTAGCTCTTGGAACGGCTTGTATCTAGTAATCAATATGTATTTTTAATTATGTTGCCTTAGAAGAAAAAGTTAAGAAGGTTTTCTAAATACATGTTTAAAATACAGAAACTAGTCTTTGAAGAGAAGAAGCTTTCATGTATGTCGGAAGAAGTCTTATGAGCATTTCATTTGCAAGTTAAAATACAGATACCTATCTTACATTTCTATAGAAGAATCAAGGAGCCATCTGGGAAGCCACCTACATAAATGCTTTACACTGAAATATACCAAGAAAAAAAAGAATTGCAGAAGTTATAATGTTAGATATTTTTCTTTTCCATCATTTCTGCCATCAGCATCTGCTTAGGGAGAAAGCCTTTAACTAGGATTAAAAATATCAAATGTTCTATTAGGTGACACTAAGTGTAATGGAATCTCAAGGTTGAATTAATTTTGTAACTTCCTTTATCACTTTGAAGATTACTATCTCAATAACTGGCATCAATAGTCAACACAAGAAGACTTGAATAATTGGTGATCAATCACGACAATTGGGTGACCTCATCCTTTCCAAGCCTTGGAAACGTAGAGATCTTATTGAGAAAAAATAAATTGGAAAACACAGCTAGGTATGACTTTAATTTGCCTGTTTAAAAGTACAGTCCAACCTTGCATTTCAAATTTTCATTATACTATGCTAATAAGCACATGAGAATTTTATGGGCTTGATAGTTACTCATTTAGGAATGTTTGATATCACCGGAAAGTAATACATTTAACTACTAGTCAAATAACCTCATAAAATTCTCAGAGATAAGATTTCATAAAACTTGGACAGCAATAAGGGATGAAAAAAATTATCTTAATGACTTTCCAAGACAGGCATCATATTTCCATGTGAAAGCTTCACATAGAAGATACTTTATATCAAAGAATCTAAATTAGGATGAGTGCATCTTGGAGCAGGAGCCCACCACTGAGGGGGACTTCAACAAATTCTCTTCTCAAGACCAGCCCTCTATGAAAATAAAAATATTTACACATCTATTTAGTCAGTGACAAACAGAGAGGAAACCATCTGGCCATTTGAATCAGTGTAAATTGCCCAACCACTCTTGTGAAAAGAGAAAGCTAGTCAAATTAAATGCTTATTTTGTTTTGGAGCTAAACAATTGTCCTAAACTGTAATCATAAAATCCACATTTGCAGTATCAAATAAACAAAAGCAAATCAGTGAAGAAAACTTGTTTTTGTGTAGTAATTGGCAGGAGGATTAGCATTTCAGTGGATCCGATTTCCTAAACCTCATCATTCCTGATAACAGCTTCAGCGGTGAGGTGACACACCAAAAAGCATAAATTATCTAAAGCTGGAGATAAGCAGAGGCCATTTGGGGGTTCTGAGTGCAATATAAATAGATGCAAAACAGTAGGAGAACCAGCCCATTCAAAATCTCCGAAGGATTAGCTATGTGAGCTCTAACTTCTTTGCTGTTGTTAGCTGTGATTTATCATCAGACAGTAAGGAAGACTCAGCCTTATCTGTGATAATTCAATGGATTAATGGCAGTACCTTTATCTGGAGGTCATAATTAAGCTTGTTTGATCAGGCTGAGAACAAGCACCTATGCTGTGCTTTAGCCCTAACTATTGCTTTTGGTGTCAGGGTTATAACATAACAAGAACATCATTGGAAATGGCATTAGTAATTTTGTTCAAGCAAGTTATTACTTATCTATAAAACAGAATCCCCTAGATGGTAGGAGAACAATATGTTCCAAATTTAGAAACTTATGTATAATATTGAGTTTACGAATACTAGGTAGCTCAGGTGCTTGGACCTTCAACCAATTTGAATATAAAACTGAAAATAAAGAAATACTGTAACATTATTTTCTGCTAATAAAAATGAATGATAGTAAAAGGAAAATAAACATTTATTTTACCCTACGATTGAAACATCTTAACTAATGCCAGTATTTCTTCAAAAGTAGTAAAAATTATAGGCACTGATTGAAATAGATATAATAAATCCTCCTTAATCTGGAATTACTGGATGGAAATATTACTTAATATTAGGGAATATCTACTATTAAATATTTTTAATGAATTACATTTCATTACTTTAAAATCTCAACATCATTTGAACTGGTTATTATATATTTCTATAAGGAGGTCAGGTATAAATGTATCAAAATTTGTTTGGATTTAGCAGTACCATATGATAGTAAATAAGGAGTAATGTCACAACACACAGGAGAGATTCTTCTTCAAGTTTTAAAGATATCACCTACGGTTATTTTACACACAATGCTCCTTTCTTAAAAATGTGCACAGGTCAAATTTATCTAGGCTAAATATAATTAGCTACAAATTCTAAATTAAATTATTTTAAATTGATGATGTCTTTCAATATTTGATTTCACATTTTTGTCACTGCTGATTATTTTATGATATTAAATAAAAAACTTCTTTATAAAGTATTTTCACATAAAACTGATTTGTTTTGACAGGTACCTGGTCCTAACTCTCTTTATATGTAATATGAACTTATAAAAAATTTCTCTCCTGCCAATGTTTAACAAGCTTCTATATACCCACACACCCATGGCAAAGTCAGATGCTCTGAGTTCAAATCACAGTTCTCTCACAGTATGTAATCTTGGGCAAATTATTTAATCGCTGTAAAGTTTCTATTTCCTCTTCTGTAAAAGAAAGGTAATTGGAACATCTGATGGAAGTGTTCTGTGGCTTCAGTAAGAAAATTCAGGTGGGTATTTTGCACAATGCCTAGCACATCATAATTCACAATGAATGATAATTCTTAAATTAGTCCCCCTTCTCCTTCTCATATCCACCTAGCCAAGAACACGTGACTAATTTCTTTAAAAATAAGACAATAAGAACTTAGGAAAACTAGATGTTAAGACTGAGCACATAGATGAGATAGTCAAGACGATAGTCAAAAGTAACAAATCAACTATACTATCTATTCTACTGCTTAGTAACCTATTTCAAGCGCTTGAGGAGTTTTCCTTTGATGGTCACAGATATCCTATTTTTCCTGTCAATAATTATTTTTATAACCTTCTAGAGTAAATTATGTATATGAAATTTATATGTGCAGGATATGTTAATATACATGCATACATGTGGATAGAATTTAGCCTACTTTTTTAAACTAAATTTTATAGGGAATTGTCCATGTTCTTAATGCAAAAGTTATTATTTATTATATATAATAGTTATATACACACATATATGTATGTGTGTATGTATGTTGTAGATATAAATCAGAGAAGTTGTTGGAATGATGTTATATGATTATTTGCTTTGAAAACTCCATTTTTGCCAGACTCCAAGTAAGAGTTCCAGTGTATAGTATCAGAGGGTTTAGTTATCTTTGTTCTTAGTAAAAAACTTAAGTGTCATAAATGTATGCCTTTTTTATGTACTCATTGTCAAACCTTGGGTACTGTACAAGACTGTGCTCCAGTGTTCCAAAGGTTCTAAAGAACCAAATAATCGCCTTCAGGAAGAGGCCTGATCTCTGAAGCAGGAGCCCAGTTGCCATTGACTGAATGCTTGTGTTTCCCCAAAATTTATATGTTGAAACCTAATCCCCAATGCAATTGTATTAGGAGATGGGCCTTGGGGAGACGAATAGGTCATGAGGGCTCCACTCTCATGAATGGGATTAATACCTACATAAAAGTGGCCCAAGGGAGCTTATTTGACCCTTCAGCTCTGTGAGGACACATGGAAGGCGTCATCCATGCAGCAGAGAGTCCTCTCCAGACACCCAATCTGGCAATTTGATCTTGGACTATTCAGGCTTTAGAACTGTGGGAAATAAATTTCTGCTTTTTATAAGCCACCCTACAGTTTTCTGTTATACCAACCCAAATGGACTGACAGCAGTGTCATCCACAAAGATAGAGAAAAATCCCCAATCTTTTCCAAGATCAGAAGTATTTTGTTAAGCATACTCTGATCAGTGTGATATTTCTATTTTCCATGTCACTCCTTAATTATTGACCACGACAATCATATAGAAACAAGAGTTGAGAATACACAGCCACCTTCTGGGTTATGCCTCTTTTTTTTGTCCCCCAAGACAGAGGCTGAGTCAGGAATTTTTGAAAACAAAAGGAAGCAGGAAAGAGGTGAAAGGGAGATTCAGCTTGGACTGTAATCAGTGTGTCAAGTATCACATTTATAAGTATAATTTTAAGGTCATCTCTTCTAACTGTCGGTCTAATAACCTGAATTTGGCTCTGCAAACCCTACCAAGTTACTATGCAACATGTTCTTGAACACTTCCAGTGATGTGCAGCTTTCAATCAAGCAAAGAAAGTCTTTCTTTCTTTGGACACTATTGCTAAAAATTTTTCCAATTTTTTTCTGCAACTTCCACTTATTAGTAGTGGTGTTCCTATAGGATTCACAATTTAATATTCTATCTAACATTCCTTTGAAAATTTGAAATTATATAGCATATCACACATGATATTTCTTTGATCAAGCCTAAATCATAAGCACAGTTTTGAAAGTCCATACCAAGTAAATCAGAATGCTGGGGAGCCAGACATTGGGATAAGTTAAAGATCTGCAGGTGATTCCCATGTGCAGAAATGATTGAGAATCAGTGCCTAATAGTCTTGCCAACACAAAATAGCATCAGATTTTATTATTTTTGCTAATCTGATAGGTGAAAAATGATATTCCATTGGCTTTTTAAAATTAAGATGTCTAATTTAATATTAATTTTAAATTAATATTGTTAAATAATCTTAGATAAATTATTAAAAATTAGTTTTAATTTTTAAAAATTTTCATGTTTATTGTCATTCTAATATTGTCTTCTGTGATTGCTTGTTCATTTAATTTCCCCATATTTTTGGCTTACTTTTAAAAAATTTATTGGAAATTCTACATTTTATTGATGTTGATTCTTTGTATTATTTATATTACTAACATTTTCTAGTTGTTAATTTAAAATTTTTATTTTAAATGAACTGCTTTGTTTGTTACTGTAAAATAAATTCAAATTTTTTTTATTGCTTATGCTCTCATGGCTTGTTTTAAAAATCCTTCCCTATTTCTAAAGAAAATTCACTTCTTCATGGTGTTGTTGGCCAATTTATGAGCATAATATGATTCTCCATTTATCCAGCTCTTATATCGTGTCCTTTAATAGAATGTTAAATTAGTTCTCAAACATTCATTGCACTTTGTCTGTTATATTATCTTTGGTTGTTGCTGGTATGGGGAGGTACTGCTGATTTGGGGCTACTTTTTTCAATCCAACAATCTTACTGAAGTCTATTATTGGTTTTAAAAGATTTTGTGTTTGTCCTTTGTGTTTTTTTAGATAAATTACCAAATGATCTGGAAATAATGACAATGTTGTCTTTTCTATCCATACAGCTTATTATATTACTGTTGCCAGGACTTTTATAATATATTGTACAATACAGGCAACACCAATAATTCATGCCCTCTTCCAAACTTTAAAGATGATATTCCTAAAGTTCCTCGTACATTTGCTTTAGGTTTTTGGGAGACAACTTCTATCAAGTTAAGGAATTTCCTATCTATTCTTGGTTTGTGTGAGCTTTTATCCTAAATAAGTGTTGAAGCTTTTCAAATGACTTTTCTGTGTGTATGTGAAAAAGTATGTGATTTTTTCCCCCATTAATGTGATGGAAAATACTGAGTGATATTCTTTTATTTAACTGTCCTTACACTTTCAAGGTAAAATTTACTCAATTACGATGAATTCTTTTGTTAGTACCCTGAACTTTTTGATCAGCTAATGTTAATTAAACATTTTTTACCTATATTTATTTAAAATTTGCATATAATTTTGTTTTCCTAGTTTAAGGATTAAGGTAATACTTACATAGTTAAATGAATTGGACACTTTGCCTAATTTAATACATTGATTTAATTTGCAGAAGTATGTTTGGAAAGAGAAATAGAATCGGTTCCTTGACATTTTGATAGTATTTACCTGTTATACCCTCTAGGCCTAGAACTATTTGAAGAGAATGCCTTTTTATTACACTCAAATTTCTTTATTGGTTATCAATCTTTTCAAATTTCTTACTTTCTTTTGAACCAACTTGGGCGTTTCATTATTTGCCTCAAATTTACCCACATTTTCAAGTTTATTGATGTGTAATTGTACATAATATTCTTTATGATTTTATATATCTATTTTACCTAAGGTTATTTCTCCTTTTTATTTAATATTTGGTCTATTAAGTCTGTTTTATGAGGTGCTTAGCGTATTAAATCTGCTTCATGGGGCATTCCATAGAATTTTTAATGTCTTTTTCGTGATATTGACCTTCTTTGTGAGGCTGATGATTCTTGATTATAGGCTAATGTTCTGCAACAGTGTTATCCTATCTTGGCCTTTGGCCAACACATAAATGGCACACTAAGGAACAGATTCACTTTTAGGATACTGGAATTCCTAATTATTTTAGGATAATATTTTAGGAATTATTTTAGGATATTGGAATTCCTTTGCTTTGGCAGCTAGTTCTCAGGAACCCTGCAAAAAAGAAACCAGCTTTCATATGTTTTCTCCAAAGCCTTTTAAGTGTCCAGCAGACACTTTACCTGCAATGAATAATATTAGCCTTGTCTGGCACGTCCTGAGTTGCTACTTGTCAAATAACTCTAGCGTGGATCCACTGGCCACTAGACATGAGCAATTCCTTCTCCTCTCTTTCCTTTAATGGTGTCAGTGGTTAAAAGTGGAGGCTAGGATCCTTGCTTGCAGCCAGGGAAAACTTGAGCACAGAATAGGACTTTACTTAGACCCTATCAAACCTGTTAGAAATCAATCAGAACCAAATTATCTGATACTGGCCAATGGATTCTGGACCAAAATGTCTAGCCTCAGTAACAATAGAGGCACCTTCTTACTTTTTTCTTTTTTCTTAATCAGTCTTCCAATAAGTGTTTAGGGCTTTTTTCTGGAAAATTCTTTTCTTTCTGATATGCTCATAAATCTTTTTTAAACTGATAAACCATTCATTCACAATTGCTAAATTACAATTTATTTTATAAACCCATTCCCTAAGACTGTGCTGCTCAGGTCATATTCCATTAAGTAGGACAAATTTAGGTGTTTACCTTTGCTACAGCATCCTAAAAATGCTTGCTAACTTTTTTTATTCTACTTTAAGTTCTGGGGTACATGTGCAGAACGTGCAGGTTTGTTACATGGGTATACACATGCCATGGTGGTTTGCTGCACCCATCAAGCCGTCATCTGCATTAGGTATTTCTCCTAATGCTATCCCTCCTCCAGCCCCCCACTTTCCCAACAGAAAACAAAACACTGCTTGCTAACTTTTAAATATCTTTTCTTTATGGCAGAAGTTACACTTTCAGAATATATAGTCTGTGCCAAATTGTATGTATATTTCCAAAACATCACCATTTTCATCATAGTATCAGCCTATGCCAAAAACTTAGCTCAGGAGAAAGCCTGAGCTTTCTTAGATGGTGTGTCCAGGAAACAGGGATAGTCATATTTCACAGAACTCTGACAGCATTAGCATGTAATATTTCAGAGTTTCAACATTTATAAAGAAATTCTGAGTCTGAACTTTGGGTCATTGGCTTCTATACCACTTCTTTTCTGGTTGCTCTTCAAGAAAAACAGAAAATTTAATGTTGTAGAAAAATTCTCACAGGTCTTTATTTTGTCATATACTTACCACACTTTATATGCCCAAGTGTTTTAAAGTTTTTTTTTCGCTTTCATGTTTATGTTTATATTCATTATAGTATTTCCAAGTACATAGTTGCTTCAGAAAATTTACAGTCATCTCTGCATAGTGTTAGGGTGATAACTGGACATCATTAAGGACATGCAGCCTGGGAGGATCGTTAGAAAACCCCAAGCAGGTTTGACATGGTAGCTTCTCAGTCCACAGTCACAGGTGTGCACCAGAATTTACACTCCATGAGGCCAACAATTTTTGCCTGTTCTTGCTTTCACCTTTCTTTCTGCCACTTTAAACCTTGCCTATAACAGAGTAGACACTCAGCAAATATTTGCTAATAAATAAAGCATCACTTTATTTTCTCTATTTCAAATGACCTGTTCCAAAAGATACAGGTCTCTCTAGCAGGAGGAGATGAAATAACTTTATTTTCTCTAATCACTTTATTTTCTCTAATTCCACTTAAATGCTGATTTCAAATGAGATGGTTGAAAATTTAGCCTCAGTCATGCTTAGCACTTCTCTGCTTCTGCATTTTTATCAAAGGGCTGAGATCTATGCAGAGCCAAGTCATAAGTTGTTTTCTCTGAACTAATATTTTTTAAATGTTTAAAATATGCACATGGTCACAATGGAACTCAACTAAAGCTGAATACTTGTCAAGTTCAAGTCTGGAAGATCTCTCTCTCTCTCTCTCCTCTCTGAGAGCATGAGAAGAACTTTGATGGAGCCTGGAATTAATGGGGTATAAAAAAATGGAGAAGTCTTGTACCTATACCCAAAGAGTAGGACAAAGAGGCCCTCTCCAGGTAGATTGATATGGGGAGTAATTGTCTACACAATTACTGTAACAGGAATGTGCTTATCACACAGATGGTCACATATCTTTTTTTTCTATTTGACTATTTCTTTATAATAGGAAGAATAAATAAATCTATGTGGTAGTTAACTGTTTCTTAAAGTTGAAACATACAATCTTGACCCAGTGAAAGTCAAAGAAGGTGATTTATGACAGCTCTTTTTTTCTTAGCAAAATTTATAAAGGAACAAGAACAAAGTGCTCTGGCACCTCTGAAAGAATAAAACATCCACAATTTACAAAATAAGTGCTTCAAGTGACCTATGACCCAACTGACAGCCTCTTTAAAAGATGATATAACTTGCTAAGATAGACAGAAACGTTACGACCTGTTCCGAATGATACAGGTCTCTCTAGCAGGAGGAGATGACATTTTTGACACAGCAACAACAAAGGCATTGCCCTGAGAAAGGACGAGTTAGTTTCTCTGGAACATATCTAAATTCAAGTGAAATAATTGATTCACATCAGAACTTTTATTTTACATTCAGAAATGCTGATATTTCATGAGACAAAAATGAAAAAAGGTAAAGGCAGGAATATATGGTGGAGGTATTGCTGGGGACACTGAACTTGAGGGCGGTTTCTCTAAAGATTTTCTTGAGAATATTTAAAAATGTTTTCACTGATGCTGATTCAGTTAATATGAGTAACAGGTAAATCCATTCTACATATTCCAATTTGGTAGAATGTTCATATTCAATGAATAAAAGAATTGCCATTTGAAGAAGTATTAGCAGGAGGAAGTGGAGAGGAAGGAAGAGAAGGGGAAGAAAGAAAGAAAAACGAAGAGGAATAGGAGGTGACAAAGGAGAATACCATGATTACAATCAAGATTAGGGCCTGAATTCCCTTTGTAAATATTAAAAGTAGAAGATGAGCTCTTACTCTATTTTGAGGATCAATCTAGGCAAATTAATTGAAATGATAATATAAAATAAAATTAATGAATCTTCCACTTTTATATTGTTGGTTTAGATCTTTTCTTGTGAAACAATAGTAGAAAAGAAATTACGATAATTATATTTGCTCATATTGTTTAAAGAAGACTAATTGCAAATGGCAAAATTGCTTCTTTGTATAGGCAAATTAGACTTTTGAAGAAAATTTTAATCATGAGAGTATTATTTCATTATTCTTTTCAAACAATGAATTCATAATTTGGATTTGAGTCCTTGATTATTCTCCTGGTAGTCTGGCTTAAAGGATTCTTCTCTTGATGAAAAATTCTGAAGATTGGTTATTCTTTTACATTAAATCCCTATAAGTAATATCAGTGCTTTTAAAAAATTATTTTATACTAGAAATACATGCATGCATTTTTCTATAAAAGTTTTTGTTGTTGTTGTTGTTTTTAAGATGGAGTCTCACTCTGTTGCCCAGGCTGGAGTGCAATGGTGCAGTCTTGGCTCACTGCAACCTGTGCCTCCCGGACTCAAGCAATTCTCGTGCCTCAGCTTTGTGGGTTCCTGGGATTACAGGTGTCCACCACCACACACAGCTAATTTTTTGTGTTTTTTGTAGAGACGGGATTTCACCATGTTGGCCAGGCTAGTCTTGAACTCCTGACCTCAAGCAATCGGCTTGCCTCGGTCTCCCAAATTGCTGGGATTACAGGTGTGAGCCACCGTGCCAGGCCTCTATAAAAGATGTGATCCACAGGGAGGGGAACATCACACACCAAGTCCTGTCAGGGGGTGATGGGCTAGGGGAGGGATAGCATTAGGAGAAACATCTAATATAGATGATGATGGGTTGATGGGTGCAGCAAACCACCATGGCACGTGTATACCTGTGTAGCAAACCTGCACCTTCTGCACATGTATCCCTGAACTTAAAGTATAATAAAAATTTTTCAAAGATGTGATCAATATAGAAGAAATGAGAAGAAAATATAAATGTCCCATTCACTTCTACCATACTGATTCCTTCTTACATCATCAGAGGTAATCACTACAAAATAATTAAGTACCACCTTCTAGCCCCTCTTCCTTTACTTTATTGCCTGCATATATGCGCAAACACACACACACACACACACACAGATGTACATATGTCTTGGCTTTTTGCTTTTTTACATTATTTGGAAATAAATTGTGTTGTGGTGAGACTTTTCCATAGTTTTCTTGAGATCACTCCATATCAATATTTATAGGTTCACATTCTTACTGTTTATTGTTTTCTATAATTCATTGTATAGATGTACTAAAATTTACATAACCACTCTCCTAAAGTCACAATTTTTTTCTGGCTTCAATGATGCAAAGAGCATTTTTTTATACATATCTTTGGGAGCATATTATTTAGGTGTTAACATTCACAGAAAAGATAAACCAAACATGTAGATTTTTTTGAAAACATGACTAAGTATATTTTCTGTTTTCACCTTATGAGAAAATGTAGGTATTTTAAAGTGAATTATTTATATATTTTGAACTCTCATTATGTCAAAAATATTATTATTAAAAGTCAATAAGTTATCTGTGTTTTAAAATTAGTATACATACTACATTTAAAATTTAAATAATTTCATGTAATATAATATGTAAAGAGTGCCCCTACATCATTTTAAAACTAATAGAACACCAGATATTATCAAAGTTCAAATTATAGTACAGGTTGAGTATCTCTAATTCTGAAATCCAAAATCCAAAACACTAAAAAATTATGAACTTTCTGAGTGCTGACATGACTCCACTAGTGGAAAATTTCATACCTGATCTCATATGACAAATGCATACAATTATTAAAAATGTTGCATAAAATTACCTTCAGGCTAATTGTATAAGTTTTATATGAAACATAATGTATTTTACATTTAAATGTGCGTTCCATTCCTATGATATTTCATTATATGTATGCAAATATTTTAAAAATTGGAAAAAAAATGTGAAATTTGAAACACGTTTGGTCCAAAGCATTTTGAATAAAGGATACTCAACCTGTATTCTTATATTCTGTTTTAGTAATAGTGATAGCTAAGCACATATTCAGGAACAGGCTGAAAAGTAAATATTATGTTTTGAGCCAGGGAGTGGAGGATCAGAGTGATATTTATAAAGTTCCTATGATGTGACAAGCACAGAACTCTTAATCCTCATATAAACGGTGTGAGGTATATTTTTATCCTACTACATACCTGTGCCTGTGTTTCACTATTAAGTTTATTTTTATGTCAAGATAGATTAGGAGAAGATACATTTATATCAGCTAAAAAATTTTAAATTTCCTTCCAACTTGGTAATAATCCATTAAATCTAGATTCTTAGGGAGTGCTTATTCAGTCAGCCTTTTTATCTAGCCTCAAAGTAATGTGGAAATACTGAGAAATGCCCTGCTGAAATCAAGGTGTACTTTGCACATAGAATTCTCCTGATTTTCTTGTATCATAACTCAATGTTAAAATGAAGCAAGACTGTTAATATGACTAGTCTAATTGGGCATTTGTTAAGTAATTCCTTTTTCTTCTTTTAAGGACTCAAATCTAATCTCTAATTTTACCCAGGGTTGTCACCCAGGATGCAGTTTCTGAATTCTGCTGCTGCCATTTTCTTTTGAATATTAAGAAGGAATTTGGCATCTCCAGTCATCTGGCAGTTTCCCATTCCCTATGATACTTCAAAGAGTAAAGATAATACTTTTACAATCACAATTACAAAGAAAAGTACTTTGAGGGCAGGATCTTTATCTGTTTTACTCCCTGCTGTATGAGCAAACATTTACAACAGTGCTGGCACTTGGTAGGCACTCAATAAATATTTACTGAATCAATATGTGAATTGTTACACTAAACTGGGATTTAATTTGTTTCTGCCTAAAGATATGAATTTAAAATATTTAAGTGCTGTCTTATCTTCATGCATAACATTTTTTTCTCTCCTAGCCTGAATTTAAATTCATGCTTAACCTGTTTTACTATTTTAGTTTGAAGATTCTCTTTTATAGAAAAGACATGACACAGATGTTATTACAACATGAAATCATGTGAGGAAGCTTTTAGGAAGACAACTCTTCCTAAAAGAGTTTGCCTTCTCAGGTATTCTTCTAAGCAAAGCTTTCTCAGCCCCATATCTACACATGACTGGTTACTCTGAGCAGACTTTTATCTCTGCTTAGTTCAGTAGTAGGGATCAAGCCAGGGCCATTTATTTCAGACTGTCAAGAAGGTGTAAATTTAAACCTTCCCCTGAAGACTCTTGTCTAACCTTTAAACTGGAGGTCTGTGGTGGCCCTGAGCACAAATGTAGCTCTCCCAGATAGGGTGATCCTAGGGGAAAATATGCAATGGCTCTTCAAGGTCCCTCCCTTCTTGTCATGTCACACAGAGATATTTCCTGTCATTTCAGGTCTTCAGTCCTCTATAAATGCCTTTAGAACCATATAGAAGGATTGGAAGTCATACAACCCACAACGACCTTCAGATTTTTAAAGCCGGAAGATACCTTAATAATCAGGAAACCAGGACCAGACAGAAATGCTATTTGTCTAATTATGAGGGTGATTAACTCTATTACTTTTCTAGGTAGAAGATTATGACAAATATAAAAGAAAAATTAAAATATACATGTTCACAACCTTTTCTGTCTCTCACAAACACATGAACACACATATACATACACACAGCACTTAACCATGTTTTAATTTTTACCCTTTCTGAAGGCAGAACTTTTAAGTCTACACCTATGAGGTTGGTGGAGAGAAAATTTGAAAGAAGACTAGAAAATCTCTATTGATTTCCATTAGAAAGGCAGATACATCAAACCATATAGATAGAAGAAAGAAAAGAAAAGGTGCGGAGAAAAAGAGACCCTCCTTCTCAGCTGTGTCTGGGGATAGTTCTAGGGCAGAATGAGTGCTAGGTGGCTGGAACCCAGCTGAGCTACAAGAAGCTAGACTTGGAGAGATATGTGAGTTGTGAATGGAATTCCTCTCTGGTACTTTTTATGTCTCTCTGTTAAATGTTCAAAATGGTTTTAAATTCTCTTTTAAACACTGGATAATTTTTAGGTTTATATATGTTTGTTTGTTATGTTTGTTTTTCTTAATCTAAGACAGATAAAAGACACTTTGCCCAGACTAGTTAGAGGTGAGTGTTGTTTTCTAACATAAAGAGAAAAAGCCAAAATTTCCTTTCAAGCCAAAATGGAATAACAGAGGACAAACTTCTATACCTACCGAAACAAAACCGTTTTAAAAATAAGAAGAAATTTGAAAAAATGGACTTCAAGACACTGAATGTTAGGCAAGAAAGAATGATGATCCCTGAGAGATGGGAAATAAACAAGGTTAGCCCTATAATTGCCTTAGCTTTCGGCTTCAGAGAGTTTCCAGGTTGTGGTTCAGCAAGGGGGACATGAAGGGACCTCTCAGACTTTCTGATTTGGACAGACAAAGCTGAGAGTCTTGGGATACCAAGGTGCTAGAGATTGTGGAAGAGAGTGCTGGACAAGAGAGTGCTGCACAGACAGAGAACCCTGGAGGCTGGTGCTTCTTGATTATGCAGCCTAGTATAGCACATCTAAAAATGAGAAAGCTACCCAACACCAGGGAAAGAAATACCCAAAAAGGATTAGACAGAACAGTTCTAGGAGCTCATCCAAGGCTGGGAACAGTGCCTACTCCTATCAATCAAACTGGATATTCTTATAATTCATGAGGCATTGGCTGCAGTGGTCAGAAGCGTTTTGTTTCAGTAATAGGGGAAAATTAGACTAAATACAGATCTGGTCCCTCTCAAAAATCTTAAAACCAAGAACTGAAAAAAATAGACTATTCTCAGATAACTTAATTGTGTTCCAGAACAAAACTCAAAGATACTCATAGGAATACAAAAATATTCACAACCTTACCAAGAAAGTTCACAATGTTTGGCATTCAATCAGAAAATGTGAGGAATGCAAAGAAACAGGATTGCAGGATGTATAATGAGAAAAAAAATAATCAGTTGAAAACAACCTAGAATTGAAATAGATGTTAGAAACAGCAGACAATGACATTATAACAGCTATTACAACTGTAGTCCATATTTCTATTGTCTGTGTCTCTACTTAACATTTTGTAGTCCAAAAACTTAAGTTGCGACATGGACAATAAAAAAAGACTCATGAAAATTTTAGATGTGAAAACTCTAATACCTGAAATTAAAAATATATCAGATCAGATTAACAGCAGATTAAACAGCGCAGAAAAAATGATTAGTGATCTGAGGACACCACAATAAGACCTATCCAAAATGAAACAAAGACAAAACATAATTTTTTAAAAAATGAATGCAGCATCAGTAAGCTGTGGGCAGCACCAAACAGCCTAACACATGTGTACCTAAAAGAGGAAGATGGGGACAAGAAAATTTGAAGAGATAATGACTAACAATTTTCCAAATTTGATAGAAACTATTAACCCCCACAAAAATCCAAGCACAAGAAAGATAAAGAAAATTACACCAAGTCAACCATGATCAAATTGCTTAAAACCAGTGATAAAGAGAAAATCTTAAAAACAACCAGAGAAGAAAAGACATATCATAGACATAGTAACAAAGATGATTGAGACAATGCAGGTGAAAAGTAAAAGGAGTACCAGCTTTAAAGTAATGAAAGATAAAGGCCTGTCCACCACCATTCAATATCCAGTGAAAATACATTTCAAAAATGAAGGAAAAATAAAGATTTTTTATTTTTATTTTTTTTTTGAGACAGAGTCTCGCTCTGTCGCCCAGGCTGGAGTGCAGTGGCGGGATCTCGGCTCACTGCAAGCTCCGCCTCCCGGGTTCACGCCATTCTCCTGCCTCAGCCTCCCAAGTAGCTGGGACTACAGGCGCCCGTCACTACGCCCGGCTAATTTTTTTTGTATTTTTAGTAGAGATGGGGTTTCACCGTTTTAGCTGGGATGGTCTCGATCTCCTGACCTCGTGATCTGCCCGCCTCGGCCTCCCAAAGTGCTGGGATTACAGGCGTGAGCCACCGCGCCCGGCCTAAAGATTTTTTTTATACAAAAGCTGAAATAATTCATCACAAATAGAACTGCAGTCCAAGAAAAGTAAAGTCAGGCAAAAGAAAAATAACACCAGATGGAAATATCTTTCTTCAAAAGTAATAAAGACCACCTGAAATTGTAACTATGAGAGAAAATATATAAGATTTGTTGTTTTAAATATCTTTAAAAGATAGCTCTTTAAACAAATATATTAATTGCCGAGACCAGCTTGGTCAGGGAGACCCTAACCCAGCAGTGCTAGAGGAATTAAAGACACACACAGAGAAATATAGAGGTGTGAAGTGGGAAATCAGGAGTCTCACAACCTTTGGAGCTGAGAGCCCCAAACAGATATTTACCCACGTATTTATTAACAGCAAGCCAGTCATTAGCATTGTTTCTATAGATATTAGATTAACTAAAAGTATCCCTTATGGGAAATGAAGGGTTGGGCGGAATTAAAGATATACGTTGGGCTAGTTAACTGCAGCAGGAACATGCCCTTAAGGCATAAATCGCTAATGCTATTGTTTGTGGCTTAAGAATGCCTTTAAGCGGTTTTCCGCCCTGTGCGGGCCAGGTGTTCCTTGCCCTCATTCCCGTAAAACCACAACCTTACAGCTTGGGCGTTATGGCCATTATGAACATGTCACAGTGCTGCAGAGATTTTATTTGTGGCCAGTCTTGGGGCCAGTTTACGGCCAGATTTTGGGGGGCTTGCTCCCAACATGTCTCCCTTCTTTGATTTGCAAAGAGGTAAAAGCAAGGGCAGCTTTGTCACGGTGAGCTACTTCTCACAGGAGTCGGATCTGCATCTGCAGACTATACAAAGACAAACAACATAGATTATAAGCACAGTCATCATTGAAATCACAGGGCTTCCAAGTGTTTTTATCCATTTTAATGGGTTACTGGCTGCTAATTTGTCTGCAGCTCCTTTAAGCACTCCAGTTCCTGGCATTAAGGTCAGGTGTGCCTGGGATGCTTTAAATATTTGTTCTTTTAATTTTGCTGTATCCAAAAACAAGTTTGTAGTGTGTCCTTCTAGATGCTTTTTTATTCTTTCCCACATTTTGAGCATTTGATTGTTTCCACAAATCCTTGTTTAGCTCCTAGAACAGGCCATATCATTCGAGGTTGAGGGGCCACTATACCGCCATGGTTCCAGTTAATAGGAACTTTTGCCGTACTTCTTATCATTTCTACCATCTGACTGTTTTGTTCAGATCATCTGAACATAGTGTGGCCATGGCACGCAGAGAGGTGCAATTTAAGCTAAACATCCCCTTAGGGGACCAATTAATAATGTTCCCATAGGAATAGTTGTGCAGCACCTCTGCCTGTTCTGCAATGCAATCTTCCTAAAAAAGTACGTTCATTTTTTCTAACTGGGTCCAATCCTGTTTACAAATAGGTTTTTGAGGGCGGTATGCCTCAATTATAGGAGCAGATTTATTATGGTAAATACTGAGATCAGAAAGCATGTGTAACTGTGTCCTAGAGTGATTGCATCCAGGCATTATTACCAGCCTTTATTGAAGGAATACTCACGGCAGTGGAGATAACCGCTATCATAGCTACCATTAAATTACTCATTTTGACTGGTTGTCCCGCTTTCCTCAGGTTTTCTTCCACCATCTGTGACAGCTTCTTGATCTGTCCCCAGGTGGGTGGCTGTGTTTGACGGGTGTTGCTCGTGACAGTTGGGGTCCTCCTCAGTGTCAGCCTCGACATGGCTGCAACTGGGGAGTCCTCGGGATCCTCACGGAGTCTCTTCCTCAGCATCTGGCTCATAATAAGGTTTCAGGTGTCTTGATGATATCCAAATTGGCTGTTGATTTTTGCCTGGAGAAATACAAGCATAACCTCTAACCCAAGTTATTATTTTACATGTTTCCCAACTTTTTGTTATTGGATCTTTTCATCAAATGATGCTAGATTCAATTGTGTATGGGCTGTCCTGTAATCCCTATTATTAATAATAACATAATGTGGGGATTATAATGTATTTAAAAGTGAAATATGATAATAGCACCAAGACTGGGAGGGGGGTAATAAAGTATACTAATGTTAAGTTTTTTATAATAAATGTGAAATAGAAGTCGACAAGCTGATTAAAAAATTCATATGGAAATGCAAATGACCTTGAATATCCAAAACACATTTGTAAAGAACGAACAAAGTAGGAGTACTAACACTATCTAAGACAGTTATCAAGACAATGTATTGTCTCAACATAGAGATAGACAAATAGATCAATACAACTGAATGAATATTCAAGATACTGACTCATGTAGATGGACAATTGAGCTTTGACAAAGGTTCAAAGAAACTGAGTGGAGAAGATGGTCTTTTCAAAAAATGGTATTGAAGTAACTATATATCTATATTAAACAATTGAGACATAACTTCTACCATATAAAAAGTTAACTCACAATGTATTACCAACCTAAATGTAAAGCCCAAACTATAAAACATCTAGAAGAACACATAAGATAAAATCTTTGTGACCTTGAATTAAGCAACAATTTCTTAGCTATAACATCAGAAATAATAATACATAAAAGAAAAGCTTATAAATTGAACTTCATCAAAATTTAAAACTGCTCTTCAAAAGACACTGTTAAGAGAATGATAAGACTGGGGAAAATATTTGCAAAATATACAGCTGATAAAGGACTTTTATCTAGAATATATAAAGAACTTTTAAAACTCAACAAGAATAGTCCCCAATAAACAGGTACAAAGTTACAGTCAGGAAGAATAAGTTCTGGCGTTCTATTTCACAGCACAGTGACTATAGCAAATACATTATATTTGTTAACAATGTGGTGTATATTTCAAGATAGCTAGAAGAGAAAATTTTCAATGTTATCACCACAAAGAAATGATAAAATTTATAGGTAATGGATGGAGAAATTACTCTGATTTTATTGTTACACATTGTATACATGTATTGAACATCCCTTTGTACCCCATAAATATGTACAATTATGTATCAATTATAAATAAAAATCATATTTATTTATAAAAATAAAATTAACATTGCTTGAAGGTTTTAAAAGTTTGTAATAGTTTCTTTAAAAACAGCTGTATTAAATAATACTTACATATAATAAATAGCACCTATTTAAAGTAAAAATTTGATGAGTTTGATATGTGACATATATCCACAAAACCATCACCACAATAAAAATAATAAACATCACTTTTATTTTTTATTTATAAAAATAAAAATTATTTTTTATTTACAATGAAAACTGTTTTTAAAAAGAATAGTCTCAATATATTAAATAGGCCAAGGTTTTGAACAAACGCTTCTTCAAAAAAGATGTATGGATGGCAAATATGCATACAATAGACACTCAACCTCATTAGTCACCGGGGAAAACCAGAATAAGCTACTACTACTACACACATATTACAATGTCTAAAATTTGAAAGTCTGATGATGTAAGTGTTGATGAGAATGTGAAGGGCCTAGAACTAACACACTGCTGTTGGGAATGTGAAATGGTACAAGCACTCTGAAAGACAATTTGATACTTTCTTGAAAAGTTAAACATACTCTGACCATATGACCCATCTATTGCACTCTTGATATTTACCCAAAGGAAAGGAAGGCTTACATTCATACAAATAATTGTATTCAATTATACATAGTGCTTTATTTGTAATAGCAAAAACCTGGACAACTCAAATATCCTTAAACAAGAAAATGAATAAAAAATAGTGTTATATCCATCAATGAAATATTACATAATAATAAACAGAAATGAATTATTGATATATTCAATACTATGGATGAAAATCAAAATAGTTATGCTGAGTGATAGAAGCCAGACAAAAAGAAGTGCATCCTATATGCTTCCATTTTTATCAAATGCTAGAAAATGTGAATTTATCTACAGTGACAACAGATAAGTGATTGCCTGAGGATGGGAGGTTGCATGGGATTTTGAAGGGATTACAAAGATACATGAAAAAACTTTTTGGAGTGAAGCGATGTTCATTATTTTTATTGTGGTGATGGTTTTTTGGATATATGTCACATGTCAAAATTCATCAGATTTTTACTTTAAATAGGTGCTATTTATTATATGTAAATATTCTTTAATACAGCTGTTGATAAAGAAATTATTAAAAACTTTTAAAACCTTCAAGCAATGTTAAAAGAAGTTGGAGGAGGAGGAAAAGAAGAGGAAGAGGAAGAGAAAGGAGGCCTAGAAAAATAATAGTCCTAACTCAGTAAGGCCAATAATAGAATTTCTAACACTATGACTTCCAAATCCCAGGTGTCCTCCATTTATGCTAAACATACACTCTCTGATCTCATATTCCCATATTGGTAGTGGGTCCCACAAGCTCCTGAATCCTGTGTGAGGTTTCACTCTCAAGAATTACCATAGCCTGGTGTTTCACCAGACCATGGTAAAATTAGGCTTGCTTTTAGATGGTATGCACATCAGTCTAGCATAGCTATATATAAAATAGTCTTCCTTTTTCCTATGAATGGATGCCACGGTGGAAAAAAATTCCAATCAGTACATCTTACACATGCTGATTTCCTTTCGATAATATTAAACAATGCAGTTTTCAGAAGAAAATGGCCCAAAATAGTATTAGGTTATAGGAGTATCTAGTATAAAATAAATAAAACAGTTCATGCTATTTTGACATTGGAACAGCTATGAATAAATCCTGATCAACAGGATTAAAAGACAAAAGCTTAAAACAGATTTTCTTTCATTCTTTGGTTGCTATAAAATGTTATCAAAATATTATCATTCAAACAGAGGGAAGTGTTAACTTATTTGTGGCCATTTCATAGTAACATCCTCTTTAAACCAAAATTGGATTTTGTTTCTATGGTAAGTTTATGCCATTGTATAAAGAAAATTCTTAAAGTTAGAAGTTGAGAAAAATTAAAAATCATGATGAAGTTACAATAATATATGTAGATATATGCTGAATACTATGCATTTCACAGATTACTTGGCAATCTTCTGATTGTTAAAGTTTTGTCAGAAGTAAATGCAGATGGCTAAATTGTATAAAAAAACTTTTGGATCTCTCTTTTCATACAGAAACTTGTAAATATTGTTTTACATCTTAGGATCACACATTTTAGGTCAAGAACAAACTTGAACTCATCTCCTTTAATCTGATAATTCTTGTGCTCTTCTAATATTTTATTACATTTTAGAGAAATTACAGAGGAGTAAGTTTTTGATGGAGCATTAAGCCTGCATTTAGAATCTAAATTTTTTCTTAAAAATAAGGTTCTCAGTATAATAAAGTGTCTCTTTTTATTAGAAGCTAATTTTATGTTAATTGGAATAAGATATCATCAACCTTTTGGTAAGGCATTGAATAGCTTTGATGGGTGGTAGAATTCAGTTATGAGGTACTGTGGAGTGACGGTTTTGGCCAGAACATCAAAGAGAGAGTGGCAGACTGTACTTTTCAAAGATGCTCATGACTCTATCTCCTAAGTTAACTACCCTTGTGCAATGACACCTTAGCATTCTCACATAAAAAAAAAAAGGTGTCTATTTCTCCAGTTCACTGTCTACCAGAATGATGGACTCTATGACTTATTTGACTGATAGAATGCAGCAGATAATGCTGAGCCAGTTCTGAACATGGACCTCGGAGCTTCTGCTTCTTTCCTTTTGGAAGCTATGTGCCATGTAATAAGTGGTACTACCTGAGAACACCACGCTGTAAACAGCCCAAGACATGCGGCAAGGCCTTGGAGGATGAGAAACCACAAGGGAAAGGATGAGGAAAATTGAGACACCAGACATATGAGTGAAGAGCTCATCTTGGAAGTTCATCTTCTGGCCTAGATGCTCTGAATGACTACATATAAATCAGCGACAAATCTCCCAGTCAAATTATTCCCAAGTTCCTGACCTTCAAAGCTGTGAGCAAAGTAAACTGGGTGTTACAAGCCACTAATATTTCAAGTAATTTTTTTCCCAGAAATACATAACTAAAACAGAATTTATGTCTCAAAATGAGGTCCCGCTGCAACAAAAAATTGAAACAAATTAGCATTGCTTTGAGACTGGAAGCCAGGCAGAAGATACAAGAGCCTTGAGAAGACTATTTGTGAAGAATGAAGGACGTCATTATCAGAACTGTAGAAGAGGTGCCCTCTTGTTATATAATGGAAGGAAGTTGGGCAACAGTTATCTACCTATGAGAACATAGAAAATAGAATATGCCAACCTATTATTTTTGCTAAGGAGATTTCTAGGCAGAATGATGAAAGTAACAACTTTTTTTTTTTTTTTAAAGCAGCAAATGATAAAAGAGAGAGAAAGAAGTTTAAACTGGAATTATAGAAGGCCCAGGATTGTCTTTCTAGCCAGTGAAAATTTCTCGAAGCAAGAAATGGCCTCATGGTAAAGACAAAGTCAAGGGTGCAACTCTACAATCCTTTATTGGAGCTTAGAAAAATTTAAGAATATGTTCAAAGACCCTCTAAGAAATAAACAATGAAACATCCATGAATCTTGCAGATATAATTTCCCAATTTTTAAAATTTTTTTCTGAGTAGTCCTGAATGACCACATTTTTAACTTTTATGGATACATTATAGTTGTACATATTTATGCAGTACCTGTGATATTTTGATACAAGTATACAATGTTCAATGATCAAATCAGGGTAATTGGGATATTCATCACCTTAAACATTTATTATTTCTTTGTGTTACAATCTAACACAATCTAAGAACACTCTAAGCCCACTTTTCTAGTTCTTTTAAAATATACAAAAATATTTATTTATATATATAAATTATTGTTAACTATAGTTGCCCTATTTTGCCACCAAACACTAGATCTTATTTCTTCTAACTGTATTTGTGTACCAATTAACCAACCCTTCTTTATTTCCCCCTCCCCACCACCCTTCCCAGTCTCTAGTAACCATCATTACACTCTCCATCTCCATGAGATCAATTTTTTAGCTTTCACATATGTGTGAGAACATATGACATTTGCTTTCTGTACCTGGCTTACTTCATTTGACATAATGTTCTCCAGTTTCATTATGTTGTTGCAAATGACAAGATTTCATTCTTACTTATGACTGAATAATATTCCATTGTGTATATGTACCACTTTTTAAATTTGTTCATCTATTGATGTTCATATAGGTTGATTCCAGATTTTTGCTATTGTGAATAGTGCTGCAATAAACACAGGAATGTAGGTATCCCTTTAATATATCGATTCCTTTTCCTTTGGATATATATCCAGTAATAGATTACTAGATCATATGGTAGTTCTATTTTTAGTTTGGTTTTTTTTTTGAGAAATCTTCATACTGTTTTCCATAGTGGCAGTATTAATTTGTATTCCCACCAACAGTGTATAACAGTTAGCATTTCTCTGCATCCTCACCAGCATCTATTACTTTTCTGTCTTTTTAATAACAGTCACATTCTAACTGGGATAAGATGATATCTCATTGTGGTTTTGATTTGCATTTCCCTCATGATTAGTGATGTCAAGCATTTTTTCATATACGTGATGGCAATTTATATATCTTCTTTTGAGAAATATCTATTCAGATCTTTTGCTCATTTCCTAACTGGATAATTTGTTTTTTCTGCTGTTGAGTTGTTTGAGTTCCTTGTGTGCCCTGGTTGTTAATCCCTTGTCAATTGAATAATTTGAAAATAATTTATTTCATTCTGTAGATTGCCTCTGCATTTTGTTAATTGTACCCTTTGCTGTGCAGATGATTTTAGCTTGATATAATCCCATTTGTCCATTTTTGCTTTGGCCTCTACCTTTGAGGTCTTACTCAAGGATTCTTTTCTCTGACCACTAATGTCCTGGAGAAATTTTCCAATGTTTACATCTAGTTGTTTCATACTTGCAGGTCTTACATTTAAATCTTTACTCCATTTTGATTTGATTTTGGTGTATAAATAAATTTCTAGACACATATAGCCTATTAAGATTGAACCACGAAGACACATAAAACTTGACTAGATCAATAATAAGAAACAAGATAGCAGTAGTGAAAAGTCTTCCATCAAAGAAAAGCCCAGGATCTAATGGCTTAACTGCTGAATTCTGCCAAACATTTAAGGGAGAAGTAATACCAGTGATACTCAAACTATTCCAAAAAAATTAAGAAGGGAACACTATTAAACTCATTCTGTATGGCCAGTATTACACTGATACCAAAACCAGACAAAGACACAATAGAAAAAGAAAACTGCAGGCCAATCTCTCTGATGAATATAGATGCAAAAAACCTCAACAAAATATTAGCAAACCATATTCAACAACACATTCAAAGATCATTCACTATGACCAAGTGGAATTCATCCTGTGGATGCAAGGATGGTTCAATATATGTAAATCAATAAATGTGATACATCACATCAGCAGAATAAAGGACAAAAACCATATGATTATTTCAGTAGTTAAAAAAAGAATTTGACAAAATTCAACATTCCTTCATGATAAAAATTCTCAACAAACTGTATATAAAAGGAACATACCTTAACACAGTAATGGAATGGCCATATATAACAAACCCATGGATAGTATCATACTAAACAGGGAAAAACTGAAAGCCTTCCTTCTAAGATCTGGAACAAGACAAATATACCCACTTTTACCATTTCTATTCAACATATTACTAGAAGTCCTAGCCAGAACAATTAGACAAAAGAAAGAAATACAATGCATCCAAATTGGAAAAAAAGAAAACAATTTATTTTTGCTTGCAGGTTATATGATCTTATATTTATAGAAACCTAAGATGCCACCAAAAAACTATTAACAGATAAAGTCAGTAAAACTGCAGGATACAAAATCCACATACAAAAAAATTAGTAGTATTTCTGTATGCCGATAGTGAACAATCTGAAAAAGAAACCAAGAATGTAATCCCATTTACAATAGCTAATAATAAAACAAAACTCTTTGGTTAAGGAATAAACTTATCCAAAGAAGTGAAAAACCTCTACAATGAAAACTGTAAGACATTGATGAAAGAAATCGAAGAGAACTCACAAAAAAGGAAAGATATTTTGTTTGTGGATTAGAAGAATCAATATTATTAAAATGTCCCTACTATCCAAAGCTATCTACAGATTCAATGAAATCCCTATCAAAATATCAATGACATTATTCACAGAAATAGAAAAAAGCCCCTAAAATTTGTATGGAACCACAAACGACCCAGAATAGACAAATAAATCCTGAGCAAAAAGAACAAAGCTGGAGGCATCACATTACCTGACTTCAAATTATGCTACAAAGCTGTAGTAACAAAAACAGCATGGTAGCTAGGTGTGGTGGCATGTGCCTATAGTCCTAGATACTTGAGAGGCTGAAGCAGGAGCTCAGGAGGTTGCAACCAGCCTGAGCAATATAGTGAGACCCATCTAGAAATAAATAAATAAACCCAGCATGATACTGGCATAAAAACTGACACTGACCAATGGAGAAAAATAGAGAAGCCAGAAATAATTCCACACATTTATGGTCAACTCATTTTTGGCAAAGTCACCAAGAACACATCAGGGAAAGGACAGTATCTTCCTTCAATAAATAGCGCTGGGTAAACTGGATATTCAAATGCAGACAAAGGACATGCTTTTTAGAACACTCTGCTAGACAAAAGGACTTTTAAAAATTCTAAGAGTGTTGTCCTGTAGCACCTTGACTGTCAGGGTAAAGAGGAACTTGTATCTAAGAGATCAGCAGATCCCACTCATGTTTATTAGAGTGAACACTAATGTGATTGATCAGAAACATAAAGTTTGCAAGGAAATTTTACTCGCTATCTTGGATTGAAAAAGAAACAGTTGATGTTCTCACTTACAAGTGGGAGCTAAATGATGAGAACACATAGACACAGAGAGGGGAACATCACACACCCGGGCCTTTCAGAGGGTGGAAGGTAGGAGGAGGGACAGGATCAGGAAAAATAACTAATGGGTACCAGGCTTAATACCTGGGTGATGAAATAGTCTGTACAACAAACCCCCATGACACAAGTATACCTATGTAACAAACCTGTACTTGTTTCTCTTTACTAAAAATAAAAGTTAAAGAGACAATTCAAGTAGGAAAAAAAAGTCTATAATAGGAAGTAGGCTGAGAAAGTCACAAACACAGACCATAAGTCCAGAGAGCAGAAACTAAAACAGCATATCACTCCCATGGAACAGAATCAGGGCCTGATTAAAAACAAACAAACAAACAAAAAAAGACATAATATGCCTAGCTAGAATTCAGAAATGCTTTAGACTAGTGACGGCTACGTTATTCCCATTCCATACTCTCCAACTTTTTTCACTGAAGAGTTTATTGCATTTGTCCTATTCTTGCAGCCACATTGTGTGGTGGGTGTGAGGAAACCAGCTAACTTGTCTCCTTAGTTCACAGCTTTCGCTGAAAGTAACTACACTTGAGAAACCTTTATCATACCAGGACCTGATTTAGATGATGAGCTCCTGGACTTTGAGCTAATATTGTACTGGAATGAGAACATGTGTGTCTTGAAATGGAGATGAGCGTATTTTGTATATGGGAGAGATATGAATTGTAATAGCCACAGGCCAACTGGTAGATAGTCTTGGTCCCTATACACATGCTGAGTCTCATATCAAGAGGTGGAGCCTAATGCCCTTCCCTGTGAATAGGGACTTTCCCGGTAACTTACTTGACTAACAAAGTATAGTGAAAATGACTTTTGGGACCTTGGAGGCTACATCATAAGAAGTTTTTTAGTTATTTTGAGCCTCTTAGAATGCTTGCTCTGGGGACATATTGCCATGTTGTCTAAAGCCCAAAGACATATGCAAAGTTTACATGTATGTGTTTCACTCAACAGTCCTAAAAAAGCTCTCAGCCAGCAGCCTGCCCACACTGCCAGCCTTATGAATGAGCCATCTTAGATATTCAACTCAGTTGAGCCTTCATATGACTCTAGCCTCAACCATCATCTGTCTGCAACATGACGGACTCTGAATAAGAACTGCTAAGTCAATCCATGAACCATGAGACAGAAAAATGAGTTGTTCTTTTAGGCCACTAAAGTTTAGGGTTGTTTGTGACACAACAGTGGGTAACCTATACAAAGTTTTGTATTTTCTCAGAAGAAAGGAATTATTGCTTCAGAGATGTGGCAGCTGAAACACGCTTACATCTCAGATTATCACTCTACATTCCTCCACTTCCTTTGCTAAATATTATTGACTAAGGAGCCAAATTCTTTGCAGTATGGAAGATAATACTCTCTCCAATAGAAAAAAAAAAGATAAATTGTGAATTATTCACATGACTTGTGGTCTGGGTTGTGCAAATGTTTGCATATTAAAAAAATAACAATGGTAATATATTTTAAGGTCATCTCTTTGATTTTTATTTTAAAGTGAAATATGTATGGAAAACACAGGGGAAAATATTTGCAGTATAAGTTGTTGGAAAGGCAAATATTTTAATGCATACATTTTAAAGGAAACACCTTCCATGATCTCCTTTTGAAATATGATAGATAAAACGTTT